>NC_000006.12:13847878-13999393 GCF_000001405.40 Homo sapiens | reverse complement strand
GACTGGTCTCAAACTCCTGGGCTCAAGCAATCCTCACATCTTGGCCTCTGAAAGTGCTGGGATTACAGGTGTGAGCCACTGCGCCTGGCCCTGAAACTGTTTTGATAACATTGGTGGAAGTGAAAGGTTGGAAAAACCACATTTGTGGTATATGCAATGGAATACCACACAGCTACTTGTGTCAACATGGATAAATCTCAAAAACATAACGTGAAACAACAACAAAAACAATCATGTTACAGAAAGTTGTGTGGTATATGTACCATTTACACAAAGTTAGAAATCACCTACACTTTAGTAAATACATACGTAGTAAGGCAATACAGTGCACAGAAGAATGATAAATAACTCTGAAGAGAGAGGATAACAGGGTAAGAAAGGGGTACAAAGTTAATTATTAAGAGAAATAAACTAATATAGCACAACTTTTGACTGAGATTGGATATAGCTGGGAGGTAAGCTCATTATGCTGTTTTCTGTAATTTTCCATTTATATACTTTTTTTCATTCATAATTTCCCAAGGCCTCTGGTATATTAATAGTTTGGGTATTTGTCCCCTCCAAACCTCATATTGAAATTTGATCCCTGATGTTGGAGGTGGAGCCTGGTGGGAGGTATTTGGGTCATGAGGTGGATCCCTTATAATGGCTTGGTGCCATTCTTGTGGCATTGAGTGAGCTCTCACTCTAGTTCCTGTGAGATCTGGATGTTGAAGAGTCTGGCACCGCCCTCCCCTATCTCTTTTCCTTCCTCTCTTGCCACATGATGCCTGCTCCCTTTCTTCTTTGTCAGAGTGGAAGCTCCCTGAAGCCCTCCCCAGAAGCCAATGCCGGCACCATGCTTCTTGTACAGTCTGCAGAACTATGAGCCAAATAAACCTCTTTTCTTTGTAGATTACCCAGCCTCAGGTATTTCCTTTATAGCAACAAAAACAAACTAAGCTTCATAATGAGCAAATTGCAAGATGAACCCCAGATATTCTAATTAAATTGGTCTGGTGTGTGGCCTGGGTAGGAACGGTATTTAAAGCTTCCAAGTGATTCTTATCTGCAGTCAAGGCAAAAAACCACTGCATTAGGAGAAATGCAGGGAAGAACCCAGGTTTTAGAATCGGCCAGCTGTGGGGAAGAATCCCAGGTCTGCCACTGTTTTGTAAGCTTGGCCAACCGCACAATCAGTGTTTCCATCAGTACAATGGGGTAATAATACCTATTTTGTTGAATTGCTAGAAGAATTACAAAATAGTGATGTGTGTGAATTACCCAGTGTAGTATCTGACTTATCACACTAATAAGTAATTTTTCTCCTTGGGGTTGATGTATACAATTCTGATGTATTTTCTTGAAGTAAAACTTCATTACTCTATGGTATGATCTTACAAGAAACGAACAACAAACAGATTGCTTAGGTCCTAGGAGTGGGCTGAACATCTCAACACCGTCTCCCACCCGATGCCCCAGTCTCCCTTCTCTCTTCTCCAACCCACTTACTATATTCTAGAACAGCTTATAATCCTGCTGCTTTCTCAGCCCATCTTATTGAAATGTGTGCTTGTTATTTTGAAAGCCATAATTGCATGTTTACACCCAAAACACAGCTCTTCATCCAACGATTTGGTCTGTTGGATTCTCAACATTTCTTTTTAACTGGTATCATTATCTCAATGTGTCAAATAATACCACTGAAGTGATGAATGGAAAATGCTTTTTCTTTTTTTAATTCTTTACAATAGAAGGAAAGATGCCATATTACCAAGCCACAGTCTTTTAAACTACTTTGCTCAGAATTAGACTTCTCTTAACCTCAGAAGAACAGGCTCTGTTTTCAAGGTCTACTGATGTTGCATATCATGTATTACAAAAATAATTTTAGGCTGGGAGCAGTGGCTCATGCCTGTAATCCCAGCGCTTTGGGAGGCCGAGATGGGCAGATCACAAGGTCAGGAGTTTGAGACCAGCCTGGCCAACATAGTGAAACCCCATCTCTACTAAAAATATAAAAAAATTAGCTGGGCGCAGTGGCGGGCACATGTAATCCCAGCTACTCAGGAGGCTGAGGCAGGAGAATCGCCTGAACCCAGGAGGTAGAGGCTGCAGTGAGCTGAGATAGCACCACTGTACTCCAGCCCAGGCAACAGTGCAAGACTCCGTCTTAAAAAATAATAATAATAAATAAGTAAATAAAAACAATTTTAAATACTCATCATTTTCAAAACAACCTACTAATTTTTCAAATCTCCCCTTTATGTGTTTGAGAAAAGGGTTGATGAGGAGTTTAGGTATCCGAGAGAGAGGACTGTAACCATATAGCCTATCGGGGGACTGTGCTGACCAGGTGCCATTCTGTGTCTTAAGCAAACATTCACTGTGTGTCTACCTTATACTAGATGTGAGAGACAAGCAATGCGTAAGACATAGCTTCTATGCACAAGACACTCGCAATAGATTTCTGATGAAAAGATACAGGCTTGAAAACTCATAAGACAGTAAATGATTTAAGGCTAGTAAATCATTTACAATTTACAAATCATTACATAGAGGCAATACCTGTGGGAATTCTGTGAAAAGAGAGACCATGGCAGTTGGTGTGGTGAGGAGACAGTTGGGGTAGGGGATGGTGCCTGATCTGAGCATCGAAGGATGAATGGTCTGTGCTATGGTTTGAGTGCTTGTCCTCTCTCAAACTACTGTTGAAACTTAATCCCCAATGTGGCTGTACTGAGAGGTGGGACCTTTAAGAGGTAATTGGGTCATGAGGGTCAGCCCTTATAAATAGATTGATCCATTCATGGACTAATGGGTTAATGAATGAATGGGTTATCATAGGAGTGGGACTGGTGGCTTTAAAGAAGAGGAAGAGAGACCTGAGCCAGCACTCTCAGCCCCCTCACCATGTGATGCTCTGCACCATCTTGGGACTCTGGAGAGAGTGCCCACCAGCAAGCAGGAAGGCCCTAGCCAAATATAGCACCTTGACCTTGGACTTAGCCCTCATAATGTAAGAAATAAATTCCTTTTCTTTACAAATTACCCAGTTTCTAACACAGGAACAGGAAGCCAAACACTGCATGTTCTCACTCTTAAATGGTAGTTGAGCAATGAGAACTCATGGACACAGAGAGGGGAATGACACACTGGGGTCTGTCGGGGGACGGGGAGGGGAGAGAGAGCATCAGGACAAACAGCTAATGCATGCGAGGCTTAAAACCTAGATGATGGGTTGATAGGTGCAGCAAACCACCATGGCACACGTATACCTATGGAACAAACCTGCACGTTCTGCGCATGTATCCCGGAACTTAAAGTAAAATAAAAATAAAAATAAATTTAAAAAACACAAATTACCCAGTTTTAGGTATTACGTTATAAGCAACAGAAAACAAAGTCTGGCAGACCCTGAAGTTTCTCCCCAAAGTCATTCCCCCATTCCCGATGGCTTTCAGATCCCCAATTTTGTTTAGACATCAATGTGCCCACTTCTGGAAATAAATCATGTCTATAACAACCCTGATGCCTGCAACTGATGGACCTGGGGATGGGTTTAAGGTCTACTTCTGCCCACTTGAATTCTGGGAAATATTTTCTTGCCTTTTGCTCCCACTCCCTTTCTTTCTGCCTGGATTCCTGTCCTATGAAGACGTAACTTTTTTTCTTTTCTTTTCTTTTTCTTTTTTTTTTTTTTGAGACAGAGTCTCACTCTACCGCCAGGCTGGAGTGCAGTGGCACCATCTCAGTTCACTGTAACATCCGACTCCCTGGTTCAAGTGATTCTCCTGCCTCAGCCTCCCGAGTAGCTGTGATTACAGGCACGCGCCACCACACCCAGCTAATTTTTGTATTTTTAGTAGAGACGGAGTTTCATCATGTTGGCCAGGGTGGTCTCAATCTCTTGACCTTCTGATCCACCGGCCTCAGCCTCCTAAAGTGCTGGGGTTACAGGCGTGAGCCACCACGCCTGGCCAAGACATGACTCTTAAAGCTGAATCAGCCTTCTAGTGAACATATGGGAGATACCACCAAAACTATGAAGATGACAAAAATACAAAGAGGAACAAGTGTGGGCCATTGGTAACACTGAAGAGCCATTCTGTCCATCCTACGACTGTCCACTACCAAATTTTCTGTTATGTGAAATAACTATGTCTTTATTATTTAAGTTGCTCTGGTTGGCTATTTCATTACTAATGCAGGTGAGTCAGGCATTCCAAGGATAACAGCAAAAGCTAATAGCATGTTTGGGGGACAATGAATAGACAAATTTGACTGGACTGGAATACAGGGCTCGATAAAGGGAATATACATTAATCTAAGGAATAAAGCAGTCAACCAGACAGACCTGGGATCCAATCCTGGCTTAGTCATTTATTATCTGTGTGATTGTGGGCAAGTTACTCCAGTTCTCCACATCTAGTATTCACATCTGAAAAAATGGAGACACCTCTACCTTGTAGTGTTATTGTCATACACTTGTAAATAGTAGGTGCTCAATAAATGACAGCACTATTATTTGAAGAGAAAGCTGAGAAGTTAGGTTGAAGCCAAAATCTGGAGGCTTTTGGCTACCAGGCTAAAGAGCTCAAACTCAATCTTATTGATAATAGGAAGTCCTTGAAGGTTTGCATTTTGCAGCTTTTAATATTATCTATATGTTTATTTTAAAATTATTAATGTTAGCTAGATTAACACAAATTCTCACACTAAAGGCCTATCTACCCCAGTTCTCATCACATAATACAAAATGTCCAGCTTCCAACTGAACTACCAAAATTCACATGAGAAAACCTAGATAACCTGAATAACCCTATATCTACTAAAGAAATTGTATCAATAATTATAGCCTCCCAAAAGAGAAAGCACTAGGTTCAGATGGTTTTCTGGTTAATTCTACAAAACATTTAAAGAAGAAATCATACCAATTATCTACAATCTCTAGCAGAAAACAGAAGCAGAGGGAACACTTCCTAAGTCATTCAGTGAGGCCAGTATTACCCAAATAACAGAACCAGATAAAGATGTTACAAGAAGGAAAAACTACAGACCAATATGTCTCATGAACATAGATGGAAAAACCCTCAACAAAATATTAGCAGATCAAATCCAACAATACATAAAAATTATACACCATAACCAAGTGGGATTTACTCCAGGTATACAAGACTGGTTCAGCATTTGGAAATCAATCAATGTAATCCACTATATCAACAGGCAAAAGAAGGAAAATCATATGATACTATCAACTGAATTGGAAAAAGCATTTGACAAAATCCAACACTCATTTATGATAAAAACTCAGGAAATAAGGAAAAAGGGGAATTACCTGAACTTGATAGCGAGCATCTATAAGGCAAAATTCTATGGAGCATCACACCTGATGCTGAAAGGCTGAATGCTTTCTCCTACAAACAGAGGTACACAAATGCAGACAACTGATCTTTCACAAAGGAGCAAAGACTATCCCTTTCTCCTACAAATGGAGGTACACAAATACAGACAACCGATCTTTCACAGAGGAGCAAAGGCAATTCCGTGGAGAAAAGGATAGTCCCCTCCATGATGTTGGAACCACTGGATGTCCATATATCAAAAGCTGAACCTATATACAGACCTCAAACTTCTCCCAATAATTAAATTAAAATGAAACATAGACTTAACTGTAAAGAAAGGGAAGAGAACAAAGGAGAAAAGAAAGAAAGAAAGAAAAAGAAAGAGAGAGAGAGAGAAGAAGGAAGGAAGAAAGAAAGAAGGAAGGAAAGAAAGAAGGGAGAAAGAAAACAAGGGAGAAAACCCAGGCAACCTTAAGTTTGGTGATAAACTTCAGATACAACACAAAAACCACAATCCACAAAAAAAGGTGATAAATTCGATTTTATTAAAAATTGACAAACTGGACTTTAATATTTTCTTCTCTGAAAAAGACATTGTTAAGTAAATGAAATGATCAGCCACGGTCTAGGAGAAGATATTTGCAAAACATATCTCTGATAAAAGGCTTGCACCTAGAATATACAAAGAACTCTTAAAACTCAATAAAAATCAAACAACCTGATTAACAAATAGGCAAAATATCTGAACAGACACCTCACCAAAGGAGATATATATCTATATCTATCTATCTATCTATATAGAACTTCTTGTAGTTCCCAAAGTAAGAAAGTGCTCAAAAAGAAAAACAATATAAAAATCCACCATGATTAGCACGTGTCAAAAGGAAATACAAGCCAACTGAAAAACTTCTCAATGGCCAAAGCTGGAAGAATTTCAGCAACAAAATAAATAAAGTAGTACTGGATTATATCGCAAAGTATAAAATGTGTACCCATGAGTCCATGTTGAAATAACTAAAGATTGAAAACATGAATAAATGAAGGAGAAGAGACAAATCTCCCATATGGAAATATTCCAAATAATTGACTAGATGCTCTATGCTCAAGAAAATGGAGCATAACCCACACTCCTTAAGTGCAGGCTGCTCATAGTGACTTCCTTCCAAAGAGTACGGTGCAGAAAGTGGGGAAAAGAGTAGCCTTACAGAGGAGAAATATGATAAACACTGTGTCAGCCAGATGACCAGGCCATCAACCATGATGAGTCACGTTCATAGTCTGTATCATGATATGATGCAAGAAAATGGCACTTAATCTCTGTGATCTTGCTCCCAAGAACCCATAGCCCCTGTCTAATGATGAGAAAAACATCAGACAAGTTGAGAGACATTTTGTAAAATACCTGACTAAATCTGCCAAAGTCATGAAAAACAAGAAAAGCTGGCTGGGCACGGTGACTCACACTTGTAATCCCAGCAGTTTGGGAGGTCTAGGCAGGTGGATCACTTGAGGCCAGGAGTTTGAGACCAGCCTGGCCAACATGGTGAAATCCCATCTCTACTAAAAATACAAAAACTAGCCAGGTTTGGTGGTACTCGCCTGTAATCCCAGCTACTTGTGAGGCTGAGGCAGGAGAATCGCTTGAACCCAGGTGGCAGAGGTTGCAGTGAGCCGAGATTGCACCATTGCACTCCAGCCTGGTCAACAAGAGTGAAATTCCAACTGAAAAAAAAAAAAAAAAAGTCTAACAATCTGTCACAGCCAACAGGAACCTAAGGAGACAGGACAACTAAATGTAATGTAATTTCCTAGATGGGATCCTGGGACATAAAAAGGACATTAGAACAAAACTAAGGAAATCCAAATAGAGTATGAACTTTCTCAATAATAATTTATTAATACGGGTTCATTAATTGTAATAAGCATACCCTATCAATGTTAGATATTAATAAGAAGAGAAACTGGGTGTAGGGTATATGGGAATTCTCTCTACTGTCTTCTGAATTTTTCTGTAAGTGTAAAGCTTTTTCTAAATAAAAAAGTTTATTTAAAAAAATATTTACTTCAGGCTGCTTGCAAGCATAGCATTTGGCCTTTTTCAGAGTTTCCATTCCAAATCAAAAAAAGCTGAGATCTCAGAATCAGAGTTTAGGGAACAAAGAGAGGCATCCAGACATGGAGACATTAGATTGAAGTTGAAGTATACGACCAGTTTGGTAGAAGAATTACAGATAACATAATCGATAAAATTTAAGAGAAGAGACAGTGGAAAGTAATGTGAGTTAAGTATCTCCACTCTCAAAGACTGGAATCTATAGGTACTATGTAAAGTAGATACATTTTAATAATAATAATAATAAAACAGCTTAAAGGAAATACCTGTAAGGAATAGAGCTGTGTTTGGGAAAAGACAACTTTTCTTTTTCACCTGGTAGCATCCTGAATTTAGTCTCTAGATGAGCACAACAGAGTTGCTATGGCGATTGACTGAAATATGCATTTTAAGACAGTTACCCCAGGCCGGATGCGGTGGCTCACGCCTGTAATCCTAGCACTTTGGGAGGCAGAGGTGGGTGGATCATTTGAGGTCAGGAGTTCAAAACCAGCCTGCCCGACATGGTGAAACCCCATCTCCACTAAACAAAAATTAGCTGGGCATGGTAACGGGCACCTGTAATCCTAGCTACTAGAGGAGGCTGAAGCAGGAGAATCACTTGAACCCGGGAGGCGGAGGTTGCAGTGAGTTGAGATTGCACCACTGCACTGCAGCTTGGGCGACAGAGTGAGACTCCATCTAAAAAAAAAAAAAAAAAAAAAAATGGCAGTTAACCCAGAACTAAGAATATATGTAAGTGCTCAGTAAATCTTTGACAGTGCTATCATTTGCAAGTCTCCCATGCTACAGATGCTACAGGAAGAGGGAACAAGGCCTTACATTCTTCAGAGGATTTACAATTCATAACCATCAGTAACTTAAAAAGTTCAGAAAAATACTTTGTTGCTCAACAGAGCACGTCACTTCAGGTTTGTTACTCCTTAATATATAGCATGTTATAATTTCACAACCCAAAGTTATGCAGTAGTTGGCTGATGTACCAACGTCAGATGCTTGTACAGACGCAACAGACTCTAGTCCCACATTTACCTGCACAATTGAAAACAAATGATGCCTGACAAATGTTTAATTATTTCTGAATTTTATATTAGAACAATGTCAGCATCTTGCAAAATAGATTTTGATGAATACTTTGGCCACAATAAACCTTTTAAAAGAAAAACACTGGCTTTTATGATCTGAGATTTTCAGATTATGAGATCATTAATCACTCCAAGTGTTACGTCTCATTTCTACCCGAGAGTTATTTTATACCCTTAGGACCATGACATGTTTATTAGACTTAAGTTAAAACAGAGAATGATTTCTGCTCATGGTTATTCAAATTCCATTAAAAATAACTTCTAAGCCAGTGACCATTTTTCCATGTCTCCATTAAATATAGGAAATGTTAGAGCGAGTTGGAAAACAAATCTACCAGACTCCCCTGCACATTTTTCACACCCTAATGTAGTGAGATGATATTAACAGCCATTGATAAAGAATCTCTCTCTTTGGTGAGATTGCTACTGAGGATGTGTGTCTCTTTTGCAATTCTGAACTCCAAGTGAACCCATCCATGCTCCAAGTAGAATGGGTATATGGCACTGCATGTGCTTTGGGAACATTTTTAACTCTCACTGCATCGCGTGTATACATTAGAAGAAAAAGTTCTAACATTTCTGGAACCCATGGGAGCTTATTTTGAATCACTACAGCCAATAAATGTAGTAGGCATATATTTTACCGCAAGTTGCCCCCAAGCCTGCAGCAGGAGCAAGTGGAAAGGCAGGGAGGAGAGGAAGGGTAAGCTAATTCTTGCAGAACAACCTTGGAAAAGCTGGAGAATTAAAGACACCAGCTACCTGTGACTCTGGAGAGGACCAGGCCATTGAGAGTTGGCACCCAGAAAATTCGCCTCCCAGATCCCCTTGTCTATTCCTCCATGAAGCCTGGCAACTGCTCCTCCCCTGCCCTGCTGAAGACCAGAGAATGTCTGTCCTCAGAGACACCACATGCACCTGAGGGTGGAATGAGCCCTGCTGAAAACAAAGGTATTCAATGACAGGCTGCATATTGAGAAGGGAGTCTGACATCCTCCTTCCTTCAGCTTCCAAGACACTGGCAGCGAGGATTATCCTCTGTGGTGAGATTCGTCAATATAAAAGAAAGACCTACATGGATTGAGAATTGGTTATCTGCCAATAAAACAGGAGACACCTCCCCGGAGGCCCATCAGTTGACAAGCCCCAGCCATGCATACACAGCTTCCGACTAGTTTGTTTAGCTCCTCACTAAACTGAAAAGACAGCTAAAGATCAGATACTTGAAGGATCGTCTCCATGAAAGATAGGGACCAAAATAAACAGACAATATGACTCAGAGGAAATAGCGCAGGGAGCAAAAGAACACATAAAAACTCTAAAATTAATATTCTCACAAAAGAATGAGAAGAAATAAGAAGAGAGTATCATTTAAAAAACAACAACAAAAGAAACATTCAGAGGACAAGAAAGCACGCTAAGAAATTAAAAATGATGGCAAGCATGATAAAGTTAAAGAGAAATGTTGATAGATAAATTTGAGGTAAATTCTCTGAAATCAGATTAAACATGAAAGATGAGAAACAGGATAAGAAACTCAGAGGATCAACTCAGAAGGTTCAAAGGCTGATGGGCAGGAGTTCCAGAAACAAGAAGAAAGGAAACATAAAGAAAGCTATTTTGTAAAAAAATTAAAAAAATTTTTAAAATGCAAGAACATTTCTAGAACTGAGGGACATGAGCTTCCCAATGGAAAGGGCCTATTGAGTCCCTAGTAAAACAAATGGGGGAAAACAGCTGCACACTAATTTTTTTATTGCGACATTGTGGAACACTGTAGATAAAAAGAAGACCCTAATGGTTTTCAAAATGGAAAAATAATGACATACAAAGAATCAGAGATTACAATGCTCATTGTGAACTTTTAGAACACTGTGGAGAAAAAAGAAGACCCTAATGGTTTTCAAAATGGAAAAAAAAAAAAAAAGACATACGAAGAATCAGAGATTAGAATGCTAAATAACTCCTCTGCAGCAAAGTGGGGATTGAAAGGCACCAAAGCAATGAGGGAAGATGATTTCTAACCAAATCATCGATCAAGCTTAGGGCTAGAGGAAAGACATTTTGAGATGAGATCAGGCACGTTCAGAGTGGTATAGCTGTAGACGGAAAGATATTTTCAGACATGCAGGGTCTTAGCATTTTTACCTCCATGCATCTTTTTCTCCCAGCAAGCTAGTAGAGAATGTGCTTTCTTGTCAAAAAATGAATAAACCTAGCAAAAGACGGCAAGGGACTCAAGAAAAGGGGATCAGAGAATTCTCAGGATGCGTGGCTGGCAGCTGTGCAGAAAGTAACTAATCTGGATTAAATCAAGAGAGTGAAGGGCTCCAGGAGGGCTGTCGCCATGAGAGTAAACTGGCACATTATCTATCACGTTTGACAGAAAGGAAAGGTTTCTTCAATAATCATAGACTCTGGGGATGCTTCAGTTATACATACAAAGAAAACTAAGCAAATTCTAAAATGAGGCAATTAATTCCAGGGAAAACAAAAAGTTGTATATGAAAGAAAATGTATTCACAATACACTAGAACCTCAGCTATGAGTGATATTAGATAGTCATAACAATCTAAACACCAAATGTTGATTTTACCAAGAATTGTGATATAATTATATTGGGAACATGTAAGAAGTGAAAGAGTGTGTGTGTGTGTGTGTGTGTGTGTGTGTGTAGGGAAGGTCATAAGAAAATTAAGTCATTTTCCACAATAGAATATCGATAGATAATGGCTAAAATTGAAAAAAAATTAAGAAATTATCATATAAGTACAATTTTCAGAAATATGGAAGTAAAGAGAAAGAAATATTTAAGAGTAGAAAGTGGTTGCCCTTAGGAGGACAGGGAAGGATGGTTCAGAGGCACCTGTTTTTCATTAAAAGTGCTTAATACTATGTAACTTTTAATACCATGAAGATGTACAATTTTAATAAAAATAGAAGTTACTTTTTTGAAGAGCTATCAGTCCCTCTGAGAAAGCAGTTTCAGTGAAGTTGTAAAAGCCAAAACGCAAGCCACTCGAGAGCATGCATGGGTGATGAGAGCGAGTGAGTGAGAGGACGGCGTCGGGACCCATCACCAGAGTGGAGGTCCATGCACTGAGGGAGCAGGGCATGCAAACATCATCTTCCTGGATCTGATCATGATCCCAGGTACCGAGGAGGTCAGAATGTCATAGGGTGCTCTTTACACGATGCAGTAAAATTGCCTCAAAGATGATTGCAACTATCCAGGTAAGGGTCTAGATTAGGGTGCTGCACAGGGTAAGGAAAGATTATGTGAAAGCCTCCTGATTCTGATCATTTGTCACTCAAGTACTGACCTCTCACCTCAACGCTCTTCCTTTCCCTAATGACTACAGCCGTCTGCTTGTATATGATAAAGCTCTGTGTCTGCTTATGAATAAGTTTTCACTTCTCACATGCTTTGACCTTACTTCTCGAGAACAAAATGGGATGTTGAAGAATGTAGGTGATTATTTCATATCCTCATTACATATTTTTGTAGCTAGACATAGCTTCTAAGCATAAAATAATCTCTGTCCCACTGCATATTTTGTTGTCCATAAAATTCAGTAACCCATGTGGGAAAAATAAATTGACGGCTATTGACAAAGAGACAGGGGAGTGTAGGGTAAAAAGCAGACTGGGACTTCAGTGGTCCTTATTAGAACCTATCTCTCGCCTTTGTGAGAGGGATCATTTCTAAGTGTTGGTTTCATCATTTAAAACAAGGCAGCTTATAAGTGTGGGTTTAATCATTTAAAACAAGGCAGTGTCTACGTGTTGGTTTGATAATTTAAAACAAGGCAGTTGGCCTCTGATATATAAAATCTTTCCAGCCCTAACGTTCAATGACCAAAACTTTAAAAATCTGGTACATGTTTTCCAACAGTTGGAATATTAGGTCTATTCTGAGAATTAGCTGTGGAAGTTTCATAGGCTCAAAAAATAACTAGCACTTAATTATTCCACTTGAAATCTCCTTCTACATATATTTAGATATTTAGTAGGGGCTAGAGACAAAGCTTGAATATGTCATTCCATGAAAGTCTGACAAGAATTGTTCATTGTAAATTGTTTTATGTTGGGAACAAGTGTAGGGATCAATACTCCTTCACTATCCATGCTCCTGGTGGTCTGTTCCTTTGCCCCTTTGCACTTTGCCACTCTCCTGGGATGCACTGCCTAATTGTGACTTTTTGACTGCCTTTTAGATTCATGCACTGGTTTCGTGATTTCTGTCTGCCTTCAGATTCTATATTATGACTTTTATCAATTCTGTATTGCAGAGTTCACAAAATATGCTCCACAGAACACTAATTCCACAAAATATTAATAGATGTTTTGAGAAAGATTTCCATGGTTACATAGTTTGGGGGAAACATTGGATTGGACTGCTAAATAAGTTTCTTTAACCAAATGACTTCTCAGGCCCTTTCCTGCAGCAACACTCATGAGAATCTCTAAAAGAAAGATGCATAGGCACAGCTTCTGAGCAGGCACAGCCAGGAAGTCCTCCTTTCCTGGGCCAGCTACTGAGACATGTTTTATGTCATATATTTTGAAACTACTGCTTTAATCAGATACACCTTGGAAACATTATACTTGTCTTTATATCCTTCCAATGAGTTGTGACATGTATGGATATCTTGTCAAAGAATCAAGAAATATTTATATGTTATGCATCATAAGTAGTCAATATTTGAGTTAAAATAATGAATCTTTAGGTTTCGTATCAAAAACTTTGGCAAGGTTCCCATTTGGGATATAAAGCTGTAAGTAGGAAAGAGGGTTGTCTTCATCCATTTTTGCATTACTATAAAGGAATACCCGAGGCTGGGTAATGTATAAGGAAAAGAGATATGTTTGGCTCACAGTTCTGTAGGCTGTACAAGAAGAATGGCACCAGTGTCTGCTCAGCTTCTGGTGAAGTCCTCAGGCTGCTTCCACTCATGACAGAAGGCAAAGGGGAGCCTGTGTGTGCAGAGATCACATGGCCAGAGAGGAAGCAAGGGAGAAGGGGGAAGTGCCAGGCTCCTTTAACAACCAGCTCTTGGGGAACCTAACAGAGCAAGAACTCACCCTCTAGCAGGAGAAGAACGGCACCAAACCATTCATGAGGGATCCACCCCATGACTCAAACCTTTTGTTAGGCTCCACCTCCAACATTGGGATCAAATATTTAACATGAGGTTTCGGGGGACAAGTAAGTATCCAAACTATATCAAAAGTCTGGTAATTAGCAGTGCCACCTTCCTCCCGTTTCAAGGACAGAATTTAATATTCTTTGGTCTCCCAATGACCACTTCTCCGTTCTCCACTCTGGCAACAGAAAAATCCCACAAAAGTAGGGCATATTGTTTATTCCCTCTTAACTGGTGATTAAGAGTTGGTCAAATTATAGGCTAGAAATAATTTCATAATTTTTAAAATTCTAACCAACAATAAAATTTGTAATGACAGTAAATTTAACCATAGAAATACACAGTTCAAACTGGAATCTCTTGGAAAAAAAAAAAATCACATCAGGTCAGGCGTGGTGGCTCAGGCCTGTAGTCCCAGCACTTTGGGAAGCCAAGGCGGGCAGATCACGAGGTCAGGGGATTGAGATTATCCTGGCCAACATGGTGAAACCCTGTCTCTACTAAAAATACAAAAATTAGCTGGGTGTGGTGGCACATGCCTGTAGTCCCAGCTACAAGGGAGGCTGAGGCAAGAGAATCACTTGAACCCAGGAGGCGGAGGTTTCAGTGAGCCTAGATTGCGTCACTGCCCTCCAGCCTGGCGACAGAGCGAGATTCCGTCTAAACAAAAACAAAACAAAACCAAAAAAAACACAAAAAACCGTCAAATGGAATCACTGTCAACAACCATTCCATCATTTAGCTAGGAAAAATCTCCATTGCTCAGCTATGGTGAATATTGCAAAAGAGGGCACAATTACCTCTGAGACAAGCAGCCGAATCCATTGTTCTACAAGAAGTCATAAATGTAGTTGTTAGTCATCACAAAAATATTTTAAAATAATACTTAAATGGATAATCCCCAGCTAGTGGAAGACTAATGTGGTTCTCTTTCACAGAGCTTTGTTTCCTGAAATATAAAGCGTGTGTGTGTACAGGAGGTGTGGAGGAAGGTGGCAGTGACTGCGTTAGGTCACTAATGTCCTAAGTGACATTAAAGAAATCAGAGGAAATGGGGGAAGAAACAAAGAGCGCAGGAGGTTTTGGCTCAGCACATAGCAAAAACAGATGTTCATTTATTGACTAATGGTGTTATGTGGCATTAAAAATAACATTTCATAGCTAAAGTGTCACTTTAACTCTTTTGAAATGCTATGTTAAAAGATGAGCTCTCTTATTTGTAGGCACGGAACAATAAAAAGTTTAACTTATTCGGAACTACTGAGAAGGATTTACCATTAAGCCAACTCAGAATTATCTGACTTTAGTCCAGTATACATCTGTTAACCAAGACATAATTCGTGATTGGCTCAACCAAATTGGGACTGTATTGGCAAGAATTAGGGGCAAGTGTTAAGTTTAGAATTACACAGCATATATGTACTAAAAATAATGCTTACTAAAAGTTTGAAAACATTATCTAAAGACTACAGAATTTATTGTATGACTTGATAGATGCCCTGCATGCATTCTACTTGCTGCTATGAAGAATGAAAAAGATCTAACAACAGGGAGTGGATATACAGAAAAGTTCCAGCAGAGTATCAAGACTGGGAACACACAGTGAATGCTGTGGAGGAACCCACTGCCTGGCAGGGATTTTAAGAAGAGATGAAATGGTCAGACAATAGGCAAGAGGTTATTCTGGGCAAACAGGATCACTCTGAAAAACAGACTAAATTACTAGAATAACAAGGAAAGAGAGCTGTCTAAAGCAAAGAATTTAAGATTTGACAAAGATTGAGAATAAGGAGTACATAGTCTTCAAGGAAGTAATGATTCAGCAGATGAACAGAGAGCTGCCTATGAAATGTTCAACAAGAGATTGGTTGAGAGTGGACAGTTCAAGGCTAGAGTCCAGTGAATTATTTAAAGGTTAAAAAAAGGTACTTCACAGATGATTTGGGCTTCTTTCTCCTCTGAGATCATAGAAAGTACATTGGAAGATAAAAGATTGTGATTTTCATTCCAGTTTATGCCTTCAATAATTGGGTAACTATAAAGATGCATTCAAACCTTAAGATTTACTGAAGCTTTAGACAAGGGTTGGCTCCTATGGTTCTATTTCCTCCATTACACAGCTGACAGTCGAGGCGGGAGTTAGTTCTCACTAGAATAACACTCCAAATCTTTGGAAAACGAAGTACCTGTAGTTGATTCGTGCAAGGATCATTATTGGCTGTTAAAACCATCAGGTGAAAATTGTTAGGGAAGAGAATATTTGCATGGATCCAAAGTGTCACCCCATGGATTTTTTTTACAGTTGCACAGGGGAAGTAGAGACCACCTTAACTGAGTGATCAAACTGAGTGTTTTGAATGGGAGGGCAACCTTTCATTTTATGCCTCCAAATGTGATGTGATACAAAGGTGACTAAGACAACTTGTTGCCCAAAATCTGAGTCCAATCAAGCTTATAGATTTTTGGCTTACAGAAAATACAGGTAACAGAAATTAAACACCACCAAATACAGAATGCGGGACATCATACAAGGTAACTGGTTTGCTTTCTTCAAGAAGTCAAGGTTATGGGGAAAACAAGGTGGGGTGACTATTCCAGAAGGAGAGAATAAAGATATAAAAAAATCAAAGGCAATGTGTGAGACTAGACCAGATCCCGGTATTTTTTTTTTATTTTTGTTGGTTGAGTTTTTTTTTTTAAGTTACAAAACATATTTGAGAATAGAAAAATTTGAGAAAAATGTATACAAAATGATATTAGAAAGGTATTTTTAATTGTCTGAGATAATATAATAATGTTTTAGTCAAATTAGAGGGAAGTTCTTTATTTTTAAGGGTGATAGAAAACAAATATTGCAAAAGGTTAACAATTGACTCTAAGTGATAAGTGTACAGGTGATAATTATTCTATTTTCTCAACTTTTCTGTATCTTTGAAAATCTTCGTGAAATAAGCTTGAAGAACCTTTCTTTCTTTCACCATCCAATCTACTTCTGTTGTGTTCACCCAATCATCCTAACTCCCCCCTCATCCTTGCTCCCATGACCACTGCCTCTGGTGTCCATTCTCCCCCTCTGGTTGCACCATGACAGTGGCTGTGCCCACTGCCCTACTGAGCATTCAGAGTTATAGCCTGGAGAGCTCAGCCTCTCAGTCCTCTCTGGGCCTCAACATTTCTCTACCCCCTCACCTTCAGCTGCTATTGAAATACACTGTTGGTGGAAATATAAACTAGTACAGTCACTAGGGAGAATAGTACAGTCGCTGTGGAGAATAGGATCCTCAAAAAACTAATAAGACTGTGATCCAGCAATCCAGAGCATTTATCCAAAGGAAAGAAATCAGTGTATGGAAGAGACATCTGCACCCCATGTTTACTGCAGCACTGTTCACAATAGCCAAGATATGGAGTCAACCTAGGTATCTAAGAACAGATGAATGGATAAAGAAAATGTGGTATAGTACACAATGGAATCCTATTCAGACATAAAACATAATGAAATCCTATCATTTGTGGCAACATGGATGGAACTGGAGGACCTTATGTTAAGTGAAGTAAGCCAGGAACAGAAAGTTAAATACCGGTGTTCTCACTCATCTATGGAAGCTAAAAAAAAAAAGTTGTTCTCATAGAAGTAAAAAGCAGAACAGAATACCAGAGGCAGGCAGCGTAGAGGGAAGGGAGAGATGGGGAGAAATTTGTTCAAGGATACAGAATTACAGCTCGATGGGAGGAGTAAGTTCTAGTATTCCATAACACTGTAGGATGACCCTAGTTAACAATAGATTATATAGTTTTAAATAGCTAGAAGGAGGATAGTGAATATTCCCAACAAAAAAATGAAAAATGTGTGAGATGGCTATGCTAATTAGCCTGATCTGATCACTATACATTATATGTATCAAAACACCACTATGTACTACATATATACAATTATATTTCAATTTAAAAATCTTAAAAATAGACTATAAAAAAGAAGAATTGCTAAAGACTCCCAAAGCTATGTCTTCAGGCCAGACCTCTTATCTGGGGTAATAAGAATGTAAATGTAATGTGAACGTGAATGTACAAAGAAACTTTCCTTACACTTCATGCGAAAAACAAGATCTAAAACCACCTACTGTCAGAGCATATTCTTTCTCCTGTGAAATTCCAACCTTCTCAATTTAAAGTGTTAATATGTTACAAATCTAATAAACTCTTAATTAAAATGCTTGTGACTTTTCAGTTAATTGATGTTTTAATTAAATCAAGGTTTAACACTTTTAAAAATACATTAGCACAGATCCCTACTTAGTATACACAGTGTTCAGGATGTAATTTAATTTTTGATTCTTTTATTCATAAGCTTAAAGCACCTTCATGTCAGAACCATAAATGTCTGCACACTGAGTATATGCAGATTTGGAGTCTACCACAGTATGAAATGATATCAGGAACTGGGTTGAATCTGTATTACCTCCAGGACTCATTTGGAATTTACTCAAATTTCAACATTCACATTTTTTAAATCTCTCTTACACAAAAATAAATGTGTAAGGAAAGACCCAATACTAAGCCTACAGTTCCTCACAAAGGAGTAAAAATTCATAAAGGGTATTGAAGTAGAGAGAATAATTTAATAAAAGGGCAAAGATGTAGAAAGCACACAAAACTCTAACTTGGAGAGCAAATGGTTAAACTCTTTCAGGGACCATACCAAGACTCTCACAGGTTTTGAGTAAAGCTCTGGAATAATATGTGGTGTTTCTATGGCATTTCCAAGGAATCAAGTTGAGGTATTTTTTACCAAGAAGAGTAGGCAAAAAGAGCAAGTCTCAAAAAATGCAGAAACATAAAATCGTAGTTTGCTTGCATGATACTCTCTCTAACTCATTTGCATCTCATCTGTATCTCATGAACTATAAATATGAGCTACTCCAGAGCTCATATTCATAATGGCTATATCAGTTTGCCTATCGATACCAGGATTCATTTGGCTTTGGGACTACCTGGTTGACATACTAAGACATTTCTTCAAGGTGTCTTCGAAGCCTAGTATCTGTTTACAATCTGGCAAATACATATCACTTTCAAGTCTCTCGGCAGATATGCATGAGTTCACCCTGTAAGTTATGACCAATACAGGTAACTGCTTTCTTTAAGCTGATTCTTTGCTCATTTACATAAACATTTCAGAAGTGAATGAAACCATTATTCTTGCCAATTCACTAATTATCATAAGCATAAAACTGCTGCATATTCCCAAATTATTTCTACTTTGCCTAACAATGGTCATAGTTAGATGCCATGTGATTTTTAAAATTTTCCCAGACCATACAAGGTAAGTGATTTCCCAACTAAGTTGGATTCTATTTTGTTGAGTAGTTAGGCAAAAACCTGGAAATGAAATCAAACAAACTAAAACCGAAGAATTTATTTATAAAGACGATATTTTTATTTCATCTCCCCTAATTTTTCTCCCCTGCTTTAAAATAAATAAATAAAATAAAATAAAATAAAATAAAATAAAATAAAATAAAAAAACTATGAAGGCCTTTTAAAAGTGTGATGGGTTAGGTCCCCTTTGTTGGAAAGTTCTGAAGTCTTCACGGGCATGATAAAGGCATTAGCTGAACCAACGTTTCTGAATGTTCATGTTTGCCGTTATCTAAAGCTAACAGAGGTGCAAAGTCATAACTGAATTTTAACCATAAGTCAGAGAAATCAAACTTCTAAATTTGGAAATAATAACAATTTAATAGACAAACAAAATAGTATCACAGTGAATAAAATATTAAAGCATTATCTTTTTATCATTCAATAGCATGAAGAGTTTTCTGGTGTCATACAAAGATTGCTCTCTAAAGCCAAATTAACTAGAAAAAAAGACTGCCACAATACACGGAGACACAAGTTTATCACTGTAGACATTATACAGAGAAGCAAAACACATCGTACCCATGTCCAGAGCTTTCTAGAAATCTCATTATATAACTCACCAATTTACTCAATGTTACATTTCAAACAAAACGAACATTTTTTTAAAAAAACCTTACAAATATATAAATCCAAACCACAAAACATCTTCTAAACATGGTATTTACTCTAAACACAAATGGATTTCTGGAAATTGCATCACAATGCTATCTAAACTAGATTTTATGAAATCATAAATGTATTTAGCTGTATCTTGGGGCTTAAATTCATTGGACCATATCCCATGTATACTATTCTCATCCTACTTACTTTGGGCATACATATTCCCGAAGTTTAGTTT
The DNA here is from genome assembly GCF_000001405.40 of Homo sapiens. Taxonomy (NCBI): domain Eukaryota; kingdom Metazoa; phylum Chordata; class Mammalia; order Primates; family Hominidae; genus Homo; species Homo sapiens. Next base: position 13,979,465 of record NC_000006.12, on the reverse strand, counting down.
TACAATTAAAATCAAACTGCTATTCCAGTTGGAATGGGCGCACTGTACCTGCATCACACAACAAAGATTTCATAACAAGTTAAAGTCGTCTTAGTAATGCCCCCTTTCTAAGAGTTACAAATATTTTAATGTTAATCATTAGTAATGGGTTTTAGAGACTAGAATGTTTTTTTAAATTTTTGCCTAGTTTCTGTGAACAGTCTATTTTGCCAACTTGTAATCTGCTAAACAAATTCTTCTTAGAAATATATACATTCAACTTTCCCTACATCATGAAAAGAAGTTCATTAACTCAAATCACCTAGATTATGCTTGTATTCAAAATAAATTGTGTAAGAACTTGAATCCATTCCAAAACCAACTCAAAAACAACAGGGATAGCAACATGTTAAGCTGCACTCTGCCCCTGCCATTTTACTTCCTTGAAGGGTCTTTTCAAGCAGGGCTTCAGCTTTGCATGTCTCTTGCCCACCCCTTTGTCTAGACTACAACACAAAGTCTTGCACATAAACCTAAACCATCATATTTTGGTACAGCTCAGTACCGTACAGCAAAATACTTAGGTTCTCAGCACTTCAAACTGTGAGCTGAAGCATCTCATTAACTGTTTCTGGTTTTCATTGCCACAGTTCACCTCGAATTGTTATAAGATTCAGTTAAGTAAATCCTAATAGAACCAAAAATATAATAGGGAAAAAAAGTATTGATGAATTTATAGCAACTAATTTAAATGGAACCTTTTCAGGACAAGGGGTGAGGCTGATTGGGCAATGTGGTTTAAAAAAACCAAAACTAAGATGTTATAAGGAAAGACTCAAATGAAGGTTTTCATCAATAATAACCGCTGTATGAGAAGTTCCTTCTCCTCCATTCTTCTCAGATAAGACTGAGGAGAGAGGAAAACAGACATGGAGGAAAGAGTGTGTCTCAAGGACAAATGGCCACATTCTGCCATGAAGCTGACTGTGATGCAAATTCCTCAGTGCTTTTCATTCTCCTTAGTAATGTGGCAAAACTGGTATTCAGTTGAAACTACCCAAGGGAATGGAACCGAGTTTCCTCTTGGCAAGGGAGAATGGGCAGAGGAAACAAGTATCTCAATGGGATCGCCGACCACAGAGAGTGACTTAAGAGAGAAAACACCTGAAGACAATTCTAGGGTGTTCCAATACCAGGGGTATGGGGTGGGAAAGGAGTACACACTTTGTGTCTCAGAGCAACTTTCCTCTTGTGTCCAACTGCCATCATAGAACATCCATGAATACGAAAGGAGGGATCCATGCTCTCCCTATAGTATAACACACCACACCCCTGCCGTCTGTCTGGCAGTGCTGAGAGAAACCCTGTCCTTTCTCTGGGAAGACTCACTGCTGTCAGTGCTCCATGAAGTGTGAGCTTATACAATTTTGCTAACCCCTAAGTAGAAATGAACATTTTTACTTCCAGCCTACAGGAAAACCAATCAAGTCAACATGTGGCCAAGGGTTTTGTTAATGTCATGGATACTAATCATAAAGAACATAAAAGAAAATAAATTATAAATTATCTAACTTCACACTCAAACAGGGCAATGTGTGTCCAATTTCTTATTTTGCATATCAGTTAAGAAGGAGGTGCCATACAGTCTAGAAATTCATGACAAACACACTGGCAAAAACCATACACCATAAGAATAACGAGGCTCGAAGGGACCAGGCTGACAAAGACGACCCCAAGGGTGACTTTCTTAGACACCAGTAAGTAGATTCCTAAGGGTAAGGAGCTGAAGTAGAGCAAACCTAGCAACCACACTAACACCCGGATGGATGTCTGAAACAGCAGGGACGTGCAGTTCCACACAGTCCAGTTGTGTGACACAGTGGTGACAGAGTCGAAACTCGCAGGCCTATAAAATTCTACCACAGGAGTGGAGCTCAGGGACGGGGAGCTCTCTCTCTGCACCTCCATGATGGTTATGACCAGGCAGTTGGAGGACGTGTGAGAAGGACTGACCAGAGAGGCCAGCCTCTTGGGGGTGAGCAGCAGCTCAGTAGGGTTCTCTGGCAGGCACTTCTTCCCTTTGCCTCCACAAGTCAAGTTTACAAGGATGTTGTTGTCATCGGGCAGGCTACTAACTTCATCATCTGGCAGGCACGTCTCAAACCTGCAGAAAGGACAGACAATGACACCTTGTGGGGAGTCCCCAAAGTCTATGATCTTGTAGAGGCATTTGGCACAAACCCTATGACAACACTCCAGCACTTTGGGTTTCCTCTGTTTCAGATTGTATCGATTGTAACAGATTTTGCACTCCAGCTCATCAGAGGCCTGAGACTCCGCAGTGTCTTCAGGAGGTTGACTGGCCATCTTGAATTATGTGTGCAATCTTATGCCAGGTGGGTCTTGTTGAAGAATGGCTTTGATTAAGGTGCCCCTCTGAATATCATATCATCCAAATCTGGCAGCGATGCAAAAAGGCAGGATAAGTAGTGAAAGAAACCAGAAATCTTCCAGGCATTTTCAACTTCTGCATATAACTCTGTCTCAAACGCATATTTATAAAGGCCACATGAAGGGTCTGTAAAGAAGAAAAGAGATTCTAATATAATGAACAGTTCACTGAAACGGTGTTTCTGAAAAGTGCTTTATGGAATTTTCTGAGCTTCAAGGATTAGAAGCAATAAACTTAAAAGGTTAAATCCCCTTCATCTTTTCACACACTTCTGTCCCTGGAACGGAAAAGTGTTATTTCCATGCTTAGCTGTTTCAGTCAACAAGCATGATAGTGAAGAAAGAGTTAAGAATCCTAATGGGTGTAAAGGACAGTGTAGAGCTAGCTATGTGCTCTAGAACATACTTTAGTCTAGATACAAGAGATTTTCACTCTGAAACTTGTAACAAATTCTGGCCTCTGAAAACAGAATGGGACATGTATCAGAAACAGAAAACTAATTCAGAGTATTGTTGGTGTAAATACCAGGTGTCTAAATACCGTCAATAGTGCTTAGGAATACACAAAAGGGAATATTAAGGACAAATGTTAAAAATGTGTTTTCAGAGACTGCTTTGATAGAGATAAGAGCATATTTAAGTAGAGCAGACTGTTCTTACCTTCTCAGTGTAAAGAAATCTGTTATATAAATGCTTTTATTGTTTGATTATTCCATTTCAATTTTTTTGTTTCAATACCAGTCTTGAAAACCACAGCTGTGCATATACATTCATTAAAGGAAGAATGAGGCATATAACACCCGATATAAGCATTATGAACAAGTCAAGTCTAAGTCCCAAGAAAGAGAAGTAAACACAGATAAAACATGCATAGCTATGTCTCTAGACATGAAGAAATCACTTGTGCATGGCTATGAAGAAATACTCAACATTCACTTACTCATCTACTTTATTTCATGCAAACTCTTTCTTTAGTAAAAGGAAAGTGTAATACAATCTACAGTCCTTGCTATTACTAATTACTATTACTGGTTATTACCAGCTTTGGACAAATGGTTGAAGGTTAATTTCATATGCACAGTCAGTTCTCAATTTTCAGTACTAATGGAAGGGAGCAGTAATATACAAAATCTCAAAATTATTTTTAATTAGCTTTAATATATGTAGTATTTTTGGTAGTTGATTCACCTTAAATTATGTTTGGCTTAGAAAAATATCAAAATGTATTTGATTTTCTGAGCACATCTCCAAGCAATAATAGCAGAAAGCTGTCATAACAGTTCTGAGGGCAGAGAGTAACTGCGCTAGACATTTAAATTTGCTATGGATCATACTGCACTAACAGAGAAAGGCAGTGGGTAGCTGAATCTGGATAACTTTAAAAATCATGAATAGTTGACTTATTAATACATATTATCTTCATTTTAAGACTTTAATTTTTAATTGACTTCCTATTCTACAAGAATGTGTAACGGATAGCAGTGGCAAGATGTATAGTTGGTGGCAAAAAGAAGTCAATCTATAGAATCTCTGGTAGCCAAAAATGTAGGTAGGATTTTTTCAAATACAGTATATGTATGCCTGTATTTCAAAACTGCTACCACGAACCAAGCTCTATGTATCTAGCCTAACACACAAAAAAGATATACAGACAGAAACATCAACTCTTCTCTCTCCTTTCCTTCCATGTGCCCTAATTTCCCTCATTCCTGATCCTGATCCCATTCAGGATACACATGCCCATGTCACTGCAAAATATGACTATGTCCTGCTCACAGTTCCACAAGGCTGGCATTTTTTTTCCTCCTGTGGGATGAACATCTTCAGGATGACAGCCAAAGAACAAGAAGGAGTTCTATCCTGGTCACCACACACAGTCCTAGCTCACTTCATGGGACAGTCCCCAGCCCTGGGCAGTTCACTGGTGATCTGCCACCTGGAAAGCTCCCATTCATTCCCTGCTGAGCACAAGGCTCTTACAACAGTACCCCTGGTAGCCACACACAGACTTCAGCCCACCCAAATGGAACATGTCATTTGTTCTTTGCAGCTACATGCCCACCCAGATGTAATGCTCTCCTGAATCCAGAGGTTAGGAAGCTGATGGTCCCAGTAGGGTTAGCAGCAGTGTCTGTCCCCATTGCCATAGAAAGGACTGAGGTATGTGAAGTCATGTGGAAAAAGGAAAAGAAAGTATGTAAACACATGCATAAAGACATCAGAAAAAAAGAGTAAAACAGCCAGTGAAGATAACTAGGCAAAATTACACCTAGAAATTTTGTACAGAAAGCTAGAGTAGACATGTGAGTGTTTATGAATACGTAAGAACACATTAGAACATCAGCATTTGACAGTCAGCAGGTCACATTCCTACTTTCTGTACCAAGCTTCCAACCATTAGAAGAGTAGCAGTAACACTTTATGTTGGGCCAGCCACAATTTCTAGCTGATAATTATGTGAACCTAAATTATTTCCTTGAAAATATTGAGCTATTATTTGAAACAAAGCTTTGTTTTGTCACAGAAATACTCTATCAGATTACTGAGTATGTTAAGATAGAGTGTTATGTGATTATAATGTTCATATTTATACAAATTTATATAAGGGACTTCTTGGTAACGTGCAATGGAAATACTCAATATTCAAATATCCAGTAAAAAATATACCTACTCTAATTCCAAGGCCAGCTCTAGCAAACCTATTCCATCAGCAGGAAAGCCTTCATCAAGTCCTGCCTCTAAGAACGGCTCTTCTGGGCAAGACCAGGTGACAGCCTTGAGCTCTGGTAGCATCCCTGGAAATGCAGCCAACACAAGTATTTCTTCCTGGAATGGCAGAAAAGAGCATGGTGATTGTTCCTCTTGAAAAGCCAGGCTACCAACTGCTACAGTTAAAAAAAAAAAAGTTTCATCTATCTTATTATGATTTTAAGATCCCTCAAAGAACTTGAATAATAACCAAAAATCTAAACCTTTCTAGGGTTATAATTAGTCAGAGTTGTTCTCTGGGTCTCTAAGAGATACTCATTCCAGCCCATCTCCAACCTGCCTTCACTTCTGTCAAAAGCTGTGGACAACAATCATGATGTTCAGTGAAAGCCAGGTCCAAAAGAGTAATACTGTATGAGTCCATTAATATAAAGTTCACAAACCAGGCAGAACCAAGCTGTAGCATTTAGGGGTGCAAGCTTAGGTGGTAAAGCTATGATGAAAACTCTGGCGGTGATTAGACTACATGTCAGGTTTATTAGTCCATTCTCATGCTGCTAATAAAGACATACCCAAGACTGAGTAATTTATATAGAAAAAGAGGTTTCACGGACTCATAGTTCCACATGGCTGGGGAGGCCTCACAATCATGGCAGAAGGTGAAGGAGGAGCAAAGGCATGTCTTACATGGCGGCAGGCAAGAGACAATGAATGCCAAGCAAAATGGGAAACCCCTTATAAAACCATGAGATCTTGTGAGAACTCACTATCATGAGAACAGTATAGGGGAAACTGACTCCATGATTCAATTATCTCCACCTGGCCCTGCCCTTGACATGTGGGGATTATTACAATATAAGGTCAGATTTGGGTGGGGACACACAGCCAAACCATATTATTCCACCTCTGGCCCCTCCCAAATCTCATGTCCTCACATCTCAAAACCAATCGTGCCCTCCCAACAGTCCCCCAATGTCTTAACTCATTTCAACATTAACTCAAAAGTCCATAGTCCAAAGTCTCATCTGAGACAAGGCAAGTCCCATCTGCCTATGAGCCTGTAAAATCAAAAGCAAGTTAGTTACTTCCCAGATATAATGGGGGTACAGGCATTGGATAAATACACCCATTCCAAATGGGAGAAACTGGTCAAAACAAAGGGGCTACAGGCCCCATGCAAGTCCAAAATCCAGCAGGGCAGCCAAATCTTTGACTCCATGTCTCACATCCAGGTCATGCTGATGCAAGAGGTGGGTTCCCATGGTCTTGGACAGCCCTGCCCCTGTGGCTCTGTAGGGTACAGCCTCCCTCCTGGCTGCTTTCACAGGCTGGCATTGAATGTCTGCAGCTTTTCCAAATGCATGGTACAAGCTGTCTATGGATCTATCACTGTGGGGTCTGGAGGACAGTGGCCCTCTTCTCACAGCTCCACTAGGCAGTGCCCCAGTGGGGACTCAGTGTGGGGGCTCCAACCCCACATTTCCCTTCCACACTGCCCTAGCAGAAGTTCTCCATGAGGGCCCCACCCCTGCAGCAAACTTCTGCCTGGACGTCCAGGCATTTCCATACATCCTCTGAAATCTAGGTGGAGGTTCCCAAACCTCAATTCTCGACTTCTGTGCACCCACAGGCTCAATGCCGCATGGAAGCTGCCAAGGTTTGGGGCTTGCACCCTCTGAAGTCATGGGCTGAGCTGTACATTGACCCCTTTTAGCCATGGCTAGGATGTAAGGCACCAAGTCCCAAGACTGCACAAAGCAGCAAGGCCCTAGGTCCGGCCCACAAAACCATTTTTTCTCTTAGCCCTCTGGGTCTGTGATGGGAGGGGCTGCCATAAAGACCTCTGATATGCAGAGACATTTTCCCCATTGTCTTGGCAATTAACATTTGGCTCCTCATTACTTATGCAAATTTCTGGAGCCAGCTTCAATTTCTCCTCAGAAAATTGGTTTTTCTTTTCTATTGCATCGTCAAGCTGCAAATTTTCTCAACTTTTATGCCCTGCTTTTTTTTTTTTTTTTTGAGACAGAGTCTTGCTCTGTCACCCAGGCTGGAGTGCAGTGGCACAATCTCAGCTCACTGCAAGTTCCACCTCCTGGGTACACACCATTCTCCTGCCTCAGCCTCCTGAGTAGCTGAGACTACAGGCGCGTTCCACCATGCCCAGCTAATTTTTTTTTTTTGTATTTTTTAGTAGACGGGGTTTCACCGTGTTAGCCAGGATGGTCTTGATCTCCTGATCTCGTGATCTGCCTGCCTTGGCCTCCCAAGGTGCTGGGATTACAGGCATGAGCCACTGCACCCAGCCGCTCTGTTTCCCTTTTAAACACAAATTCCAATTCCAAACCATATCTTTGTGAATACATAAAACTGAATGCTTTTAACAGCACCCAAATCACATCTTGAATGCTTTGCTGCTTAGAAATTTCTTTCACCACATACCCTAAATCATCTCTCTCAAGTTCAAAGTTCCACAGATCTCTAGGGCAGGGGCAAAATGCCATCAGTCTCTTTGCTAAAACATAGCAAGAGTCACCTTTATTCCAGTTCTCAACAAGTTCCTCATCTCCATCTGAGACAACCTCAACCTGGACCTTATTGTCCATATCACTATCAGCATTTTGGTCAAAGGCATTCAAAGTCTCTAGGAAATTCCAAACTTCCCCACATCTTTCTGTCTCTGAGCCCTCCAAGACTCTAGGAAGTTCCAAACTTGCCCACATTTTCCTGTCTTCTTCTGAGCCTTTCAAACTGTTCCAACCTCTGTCTGTTACCCAGTTCCAAAGTTGCTCCCACGTTTTCAGGTATCCTTATAGCAGTACCCCACTCCTGGTACTAATTTACTGTATTAGTTGATTCTTACGCTAATAAAGATATACCCAAGACTAAGTAATTTATAAAGAAAAAGAGGGTTAATGGACTCACAATTTCACATGGCTGGGGAGGCCTCACAATCATGACAGAAGGCGAAAAAGGAGCAAAGGCACATCTTATGTGGTGACAGGCAAGAGAGAATGAATGCCAAGTAAAATGGGAAACCCTTCATAAAATCATCAGATCTCATGAGAACTTACTATCATGAGAACAGTATGGGGGAAACTGCCCCCATAATTCAATTATCTCCACCTGGCTCCACCCTTGATGTGGGAATTATTACAGTTCAAGGTGAGATTTGGGTGGGGAAACAGAGCCAAATCATATCATCAGGACAGCCGACGCCTTGAAGGGAAGAAAAAACAGTGTCCAAGCAGACTTAGTGCAGGCTATGGAGTGGCTAACAATGCTCTCTTCTTGACCGGGGTGGTACTTACAAGTGTTCATTTTGTGCTACTCCATCACACAGTACGTCTTCTGTACTAGTGTTATCTTTCACAGTAAAAAAGGAAAGGAAAGGAAATAGAAAACGAAAAAGGAAAGAAAGGGAATCTATGACTGTTTTGGCTATTTTTATAGATACAGATTTTTCTACATTCAAAATGTATATTTTTCTGCCAACGCGTATTTTGGATCAACTTACTTTTTCCATATGATCTGTATGTAAGTCCATTAATTTTTTTCACAAAATTGAAATGTCACGTATCTATCACCTTAATATTCATGCATTACTATAAATCAATACTGGTGGTAAGAATATAAATTAGTACAACCACTATGGAAAACAGTATAAACATTTCTCAAAAAACTAAAAATAGAAATACCTTACAACCCAGCAATTCTTCTACTTGGTATCTATCCAAAGAAAAAGAAATCAATATATCAAAGGGATACATGCACCCCCATTTTTATTGCAGGACTATCCACAATAGCAAAGATATGGAATCAAGCTATGTGCCCATCAACAGAGGAATGGATAAAAAAATGTGAACTACTATTTGGCAATAACAAAGAATGAAATCCTGTCATTTGTAGCAACATGAATGGAACCAGAAGTGATTATGTTAAGTGCAATAAGCCAGGCACAGAAAGACAAATACCTCATGTTCTCACTCATATGGGAGCTAAAAAACTTTATCTCAGGATGAGGTGGGAGAGGGAGAAAGAAGAGAGGTTGGTTAATGGGTACAAACATACAATCAGATAGAAGAAATAATTCTAATATTTGATAGCATACTAGGGTGACTATACTTAGCAACAATAATGTGTATATTTCAAAGTAACCAGAAGGCTTGAAATACCAACATATAAAAATAATAAACAGTTAAGGTGATGAATACCCTAATTACCCTGACTTGACCATCATACATTCTTTGTATGTTACACTCACATGTACCCCATAAATATGTAAATTATTATATATTAACAAAAGAGGGAAAATGGATGAATCTCTAGGATGGACATATCTGTAGCATGCCTTGATAAGAACAAGTGCTAAAGTATGTCTCACCAGACACTGAGGAAAGAATCTGGTATGCTGAAATTGCCTTAAAAATAAATACAAAGTTTTCTTTTCCTAGAAAAATACATACATTTTCAAATATATGAAGCTGGTATTCCTAACTAACCAATGAACAGTCTTTCATCCTTTTATAAGTCATCTGGGGATAAGACTATACAAATAAATAATTACCTACTATTATTCTCATAAATTAGCTTGAGCTCCTGGACTATTGGGCAAATGATTGTTTTCACAGCCCTAAATAATAAACCACTTATTATTAGACTCAAATCCATCTTACTCTGCTACTTAATTCCCTTGATGGTGAAGATGCAAACTTGGCTTATATTTTAAAGCAAAGTCCCTCCAGTGGACACCTGTTGTTATTGTCTACCTAGGATCTTTTTTTCTCCTTTAGATCACATTGCTCCCTTCCCAACTGCCCCCACTTCTTCGGGGTAGTGTTTCCTACTCACTCAAATTACAAAATGGTGGGTGGGCTGTGCTAATCATAGTACCTCCCTTCTCTCCAAAGGTGTGGACTTGGGACCAGGCCTGGCTGATCACATACTCCACTACTCCCCTACTCACAAGGATTAGTCTAATGGGCATGTGACCCAAACCGGACTTCTCAAAGCTCCTGACTGCAACTCTTTATTTGAAGCTAGGGACAAGACAGGACAGGACAGGGACCAGGGGAAGGGATACAGAACCAGAAAAAGATGTATCAAGAAACTGCCATGGCAGCAAGAGGGAGAAGAAGAAGAATAAAGCCAAAAATATTAAGACAGTAAAGGAAAACAAGAGGCAGAGGTAAAACAACAACAACAACAACAACAACAACAAAAAACAGAGACAAGCCTGATGAGACCTGAACTGAGTTTCTGAAGTCAATAATGTATGAAGGTTTCTGTGAGCCAATAAATTCCTTTTTTTGCTTATGCTAGTTTTCTGGATGGATTTCTGTTACTTACAACCCAAAGTGCCCTAATACAGTTACCATGCTGTACTTGACGTTGAGAATTTATTGTGTTTTTAGATCTAGGTTCCTACTTAGTATTACAGAAATTTATATAAATAAATAATTCAACAAAACTCACAGGCAATAGGCATTCTCTAAGATTTCATTTGCACACGTGCACACATGCATGCACATGTACACATAAACACATTTACATATATAAATACACAAAGGTCATCAGACATATTTATTTATTTATTAGTGGCCTTTGTGTGTGTGCATTCTTTTTTATTTGGTTCTTTTCTCCTCCACCAGTATCAGCCTGAATACCACCCCAAATGAAATCTTAGAGAAACTTTACATCTGTACTGAAAATTAAATTGGTCTCTAGACTTTTTTGTGCTGTTAGGTTTTGGTATTAACTGTATGCTTATTTTATAAGTGAAACACGAGCTATTCATCTTCTGGAACAGTTTAAATACTGATAAAATTATGTGTTCTTTAAAAGTTACATAAAACTCAGCTGTAATTTCATATGATTCCATTGTCATTTGCAGTAGTAGATCTTTAATCATTTTTCCATCTCTTTTAGGGTTACTGTCCTATTCAAATGTTCATTTCTTCCTCAGTTAAATTTAGACATTTATATTTGACAAAGAAAAAATCCATTTCTTCTGGGTTTTCAAATTCATTGCTGTAGAGTTCCGCAAATTCTGTTATCGTCTTTGCATCACCTCTGCCCCTGATTGTTTCTTTTCTCACTTATAGTCTTCTAAATTGTTTTACTCCTTATTAATTACCTAATCAAACTATTTTACTGTGCTTTTCAAAGACCAACTAATATATGTATTTATCCTTTCTGTTACTTTTAATTTCATTAATTTCAGCTTTTATCTTTATTATTCCCTCTAATTTATTTTTGTTTGTTATGATTTTTTTCCCAATTCATACTAAGAGTACACTTTGTCTTTATGCTTAAATACTGAAAATAGCTAAAGACTATAGTGTTTCCACTGGCTACAGCTTTCACTCTATCCCATAGCTTGTGGAATAGATTGTGTACCTTTTATTGATTTCTAGATGGCTTGTGATTTGACCTTTGATTTCTCCTTTGATATAAAGGTAATACAGGGCCAGGCATGGTGGCTCACGCCTGTAATTCCAGGAGGCTGAGGGTAGAGAATCACTTGAGCCTTAGGAGTTTGAGACTAGCCAGGGCAATATTAGACTCCATCTCTATTTTTTAAAAAAAAATTAATAAATTTTAAAAAGGTTATATACTTTTCTTAAATTTCTAAATAAAATTTATTTTTTATTGCCATATGTAATTTCTAATAGTACGGGATTATGATCAGAGAACAAAATCTATAAGAAAATCTTTTCCTTTTAATTTATTATGGTGCTCTTTGTGGTAAAGTATATTTTTCTAAGTAGTCTAGAAAGAAATATTCTGTGTGGTTCTAGAATACCTATTAAACCTAACTTTTTAATTTATTCAATTTCTGAATCATCAAGGTATGTGCAAGGTTATCACAGGTCAAAACAAGTGAGAGAGGTTTATTTAAGTGTCTCACTATAACTATATTTGCATTTCTAACAGTTTTGTTTTACAGAGTTAGTGGCTATGTTAGCTTACATATACAACTTTATTTTCTTCATAAACTCTGCCTCTTTTTGTCATTATATAATGTCTTTCCTTATCCTATTTATGCCTTTAACTTAAATATCAACCTTTATACCTTATCTAAAGCTTATATTACTTGTTCTATTGACTCCGCATTTGCCTGGGATGTATGTGCATCCTTTCAACTCCATCTTCAATTACTTTATCTCGAATGTTTCTTATAAACAGCTGCCAGAGATGTGGTACACAGCCTGTAATCCCAGCACTTTGGGAGGCCAAGATAGGTGGATCACTTGAGCCCAAGAGTTGGAGACCAGCCTAGGAAACAAGGCAAAGCTCTGTCTCTACAAAAACATACAAAAATTAGCCAGGCGTGGTGGTGCACGCCTGTGGTCCCAGCTACTCAGAAGGCTGAGATGGGAGGCTCACTTGAGTCCAGGAGGCCGAGGCTGCAGTAAGCTATGATTGCACCACTGCACTCCAGCCTGGGCAACAGAGAGAGCATGTTTGAAAACACACACACACACACACACACGCACGCGCACACACACAAAACAGCATACTACTGGGTTTTACTTTTTTTTGGTGGGGGGGTGGGGGGGTGGGGACAGGTTCCTGATCTGTCGCCCAGGCTGGAGTGCAGTGGCATGATCTCAGCTCACTGTAACCTCCACCCCGCGGGGTCAAGCAATCTTCCCGCCTCAGCCTCCCAAGTAGCTGAGATTACAGGTGTGCGCCACCACGCTTAGCTAATTTTTGTATTTTTAGTAGAGACGGGGTTTTGCCATGTTGCCCAGGCTGGTCTCAAACTCCTGTACTCAAGCGATCCACCTACCTTGGCCTCCCAAAGTGCTGGGATTACAGGTATGAGCCACCATGCCTGACCTGGGTTTTGGTTTTTAACTCAGTCTGACAATTTTCCAATTAAAACATCTAATGAATTCTAAAAATTTGTGAATTTTCCAAGTTCATTCACCTTTAATGTAAAGGCTGTTATATATTAACTCATTCTTTCCTCCTCACTTGATTTATTTGATTCAATTCCAAATATTTCCCTCCTGTCATCTTCCTGTATCTCAAGGTCTGTGTTTCTGGTTAACTTTTTGTTCAGTTACTTTTTCTTTGTATTATTGAGTATCTTTGTCAGAAAATAGGTGATGATATTTCTAAATTCTTATGTAGTAATAAATTTCCTCCTGACAGGGAAATGTATGGGATTTTCTGGCTGCTGTCTTTTTTCTCTCTGAAACCAACCCAGTAGTCCTATAGACTATTCTTTTGTATAAACATAGATTGCCCTTTCTTGTCTTAAAGCTTAAAACTTGTATTTGTTTTATCTGAGCTCCGTCCTCAGGAGAGTACTTCCAGTCCACTCAAAAAAAAGTATCAAAGAACTGAAACTCACCAGATCACCACACCAGATCCTTGAGGGGCCCCTCACTGATCATGATTGCTTCCTTGCCCCTCTCTAGTTCCTGTTTTCTTATACATTGTTACATTTCTGCCCTGCTATATAAGCCCTCGGTTTTAGTCTGTCAGAGAGATGGATTTGAGAAGGATCTCCCATCTCCTCAGCCCCAGCACCCAATTAAAGCCTTCTTCCTTGGCAATACTCATCGTCTCGTGATTGGCTTTCTGTGTGGTGAGCAAGTAGGGCCTAGACCAAACCCTTGGTATTTTGGTAACATCTCCATGGCCTGCAGAAATTACTATTTCTAGTTTTCTGTGTCACAGATGAGAAATCTGCTGCTAGTGTGATACTTCTTCATGGTAAGTAATTTGCTCTGTCTAGAAGCTTCTAAGATTTTGCCTCTTATTCTTAATATATAGTTCAAGAACTTTTCCAATAAATCCAGAGTGTCTTTTTTCATAAATTTTGCCTGGAACTTAATAAGCTATTTGAATTTACAGACTCAAGTCCTGATTTTTAAGCTCAAAAAATTTGTTTCTTATATTTACTTAATTATTGCCTTTCCTCCATCTGTTCCTTTTTCTCTTTCTGGCTTTCCTGTTACTCACATGTTATATTTCCTGGATCTATTTTCTTTTGTGGTTTCCATTCCTTTATATTTTTGTTCTGTACTTTCAGATTCTTCTAGCTGACCAACTAGGCTACCAAATCAAGCCCCAAGAATGATCATTATCACCTTCAGTTCATTTACTAAAATGTTTGATGGGGAAATCATGCATTTCATCTCTAGAAAGTCTTCTTGTGCTGCATCTGCATCTCCTTATGTGCTCTTTCTATTTTTTGTCAGGTTGTCATCTGTCTCTGGCTGCCGCTCCATCACATTCAGCGTGAGTTCTGTCTGTTCTCATAGACTGCCTTCCCTTTGGCTACAGTGCCAATATTTTTCTTTGTTATATCACTGGGGTTCAGGTCTGATTGTTGAAGGACCCATGGAACTGAAGTTCTATGAGTAGGGTGAAACACAATGGTCTCTTCTCCTGTGATCTAGCAGTGTGACAGCAGGTGGGCTGCCAGGACCCTTCCAAGGTCTCCTGCTCCAAAGGACGCACCCAACTATGGATTTTTCTCCTTGGTCTCTTGTGGAACACACACACTATGGGGTGAGGGTGAGTTTCAGTTTTCCTCCCAGGAGTCCCCACCCTCTGTAGGTCAAGTTCATCACAGTATCCAGTGCATCCTGATCTTCTGGTGGGACTCATCAAATGGATGCCAGCCCTCGGTACCAGCCAAGCCTAGGAAGGAATCCCCCATCTGCTCCCCACTCCCCACCCTCAGCTTTCACAAAGCTTGGGGTTTCACTTGCACTCAGGGGTCTGCTGGCTCCAGGAGTCGTTGGGATCAGGAAAGGCAGATAGAGTAGAATTGAGAGAGCAAGATAGCAAGCCACTTTAGCTTGCTATCTTTCAAGAATCCTTGCCAACTATAATTCCTGGAGTTTTTCCCAAATATTTACCTAGATGGAAAAATGGAAATTTGTGATAAAAGTTTAATTTGGGCAGAACATTGGCAATACTAAGCATGTTCAGCGGCTATTACATAAAGATATGTACCAAACTGATACTCATCCCTAAGTTAACTGTTTCTGAAATTCACTTTTTAGAATTCTCCTTTTTGCATATTATTATTTTTTACTTCCTCTATATCAAACTGTCTCATTCTAAGAATCCATAAACTGGACACTCAAGGGTATGAGAATCATTTTCCTTTGCCTTTGGCTATCTTTCCTAAATAATGCCTTTCAAGTTCTACCTTTTAATTCAAAGACCTGTATTTCTATATACTAGTTAGATAATGATTCTTTTTTTTTTTTTACATTTTAAAAAATTCGTGTTTTTCTTAACTGAGATTGTCTTGAGTCTTTGCTGTTTGGATCTTGAACTGTTTTTGGGTCTTCTTCCCCACTTTTTCATGATATTACCCTTCAATTTCAAATTTTTTAATTTATTACTAAACCATCTCCCCTAAATACTCTTTGCCCTAGCCCCTATCATGTGTGGCAACTTGTCTGCAAATATGGCTGCAATAATTCTCCACAGACCTGTACAAATACTTTCTACAATGTGATCTTCTTTTCATCTGATCAACAAGTAGAGGAATCTGTTTTTCCCCACCCCTTAAATCTTGGCCTTGTGACTTGCTTTGACCAACATTAAGAGTGTGAAGCAAATTTCTGACCTCAGGGTGTCTTGAAGCTTCTGCTCTTGCTCTCTTGGAATTCTGAGACCACCATCAAAGAAGCCCAGGCTAGCCTCTCTGAAGATGAGAAACCATAGAGAGAAAGGCCCAGACAAAAGCCAGCACCAACTCTAGTCATGTGAGACCATTAGAGACCATCCAGCCTCAACTAACCACCAGGGACAACACCTGTTTGAATGAGTAGCACCATGAAAGAACAGCTGAAGAATGTGCCCCACTGAGCCCAGTAGAAAATGCTGAGCCACAGACTCATGAACCAATAAAATGGCTGTTGTTTCCAGCCACTAGTTTTGAGGTGCTTTTGTAACAATAGATAAGCAAAATAGCATGCTATTTCTTTCCAAATTAATCCAAAGCCAATCTCTGCCCAAAGAAATTATTTCCCTCATTTATCAATGAGTATCATGCCTACCTAGAAGACTCTTTTATGAACTTTGAAGCTGTCCAATCCATACATCTTGCAAGTTCTGTCAGTCAAAATACAGTTTCTATGTATTCTTCCATGCATAAACTTTAATAATTTGTATTATGATAACTTCTATTAATTCAAGTCTTTTTAAAAAGCTCAAAAATTTTAGAAACACTGCATAAGCTCTACTACAGTAAGGGGAAATTATAATTCCCACTTAATAGGCATATGAACATCCATTGAAGTATCTTTCCTAAGATTACATAAGAAGTCAGGACAAAAAAAGTCAAAATAAGTAGAGCTCAAAAAAACAAAACAAAAAACAGAGCTGTCACTGTGATCCTATTATCTATCCAGGGCTCTATGCTATGTATTACTCCACTGTCCATATGAATTAATTGTATAGGTCTTAGGGTAAGTTGAGTTTCTTCAAAATATTTCATATACAGTTTCATGTAGCCTGAATCATTCTTATAGAATCCATCAACCATTTTAATGCGGCATCAACAGGAGAGATTATATTTTTCCCCTTATGAAAAGACAACTGTCAAATTTCAACTCTCATTTCCAAAATATTCCTCCCATCCTGGAAAATAAATGTTGTAAACACTGCTTTCTAGATGATGAGACAATATATTTTAAATGGCTCTGTAACAAGAAAACTGATAGAAGTTAAGGTATTGTCATTTTCATTAACTATGGTTTCTGTTTTTATAAATGGTGCTAAATACCTGCTTCTATGTTCAATTTATTTTGTGCAAAATGGAGAATCACTCTTCAAACACTTTCACTTCTTGATTATCAGTTTCTATGATGTCTTAAATTCTTTGACTAATAACTCTATCTTCAAAAACATATGAGAGATTCTAGCACTTGTAGCATCATTTTTCTTTGTGACTATCAAGGCAGAACATTGGTTTTTACGCTCAGCTATTGATAAAGTACACATGCTTGCCATCTCTCTGACACCCAATTGCTCATTCACAAAACCCGATGTTCCTAACCTCATTATTTATGGAGCTTGAGTCTCAAATTAAGCTTAAACCACACATGTGGCATCTACCTCCAAGAAAGTCCAGTTTTTCCACCTAGAGATTCAGAAGCTGGATTCTAGTTAGAGCTTAAAAGACTCTCATTACTGTTAATAATTACTAACAATAATATGTTGGCCTCAGTCCCAATTATCAGTTATCCCTTAGTGAGCATTAACAATAGTTGAACTTTGTAGAGACGATGGTCTCAGAATTAAGGGTTTTACTATGCCTTTCATTAAAAACTATGCCTTTCATTAAAATGCCATTCAAAAAAATCCTTCTCACTATAATAAAAGTCTCCAACTCAAAAATCCTAAAAAGAATAGGCTCAACAAATGCCAAGTACTCATTCTTGAAGGACCATCAGCTGACTCTAGAAGAATTTAACCCACAATACCCATAACCCCTAATGGTTGTTTGGCAGCATAAGGAGCAATTCCAGAAAGCCTCCCTCAACAATTAAAACTCTTACCTCCCCCCTCCTCCAAGAACATGCAATTTAATTTGATGGAGAGTCATAATCTATTTATTAGGATACAGCCAAGTTAATAACCTAGCAATCTAAGTTATTAATTTTGGAAGAGAGGCCACTATTTTTATATATGGAGTTGTGATTTATGCTGTGCTGTTTGCCAGCAGTTTTAAACCAATAAATGTTCAGGAATAAGAGAGAAAAAAACCAGGTACTCCGCACCCTATATTTAGGTATCCACATCTGCTTTCTTCTTCAAGACTCTGGAAGTGCAGCCAGGAGTATGACCATCCCTTGCAGGCAGTCTACAATGGAAGCACATAGCATCTAGAGTCAGGAGACCGAGATTTGGGACCTGGCTCTGACACTGTGATCTTGGACTAAAAGACAACACCTGCCTCACAAAGTGGTTGTGAGGATTCAATGGAATCATTTAGGTGTAAATACTTTACATACATAAGCACTATATGGATGCGACTAGAAATTTAGAAATAATGGATCCATTGATATGGTACTTCAGCATTCTAAATTGGTAGTAGACAGAATATGCATTGAACACAGTATCAGAAGGTATACAGGTTTTCTGTCTATAGATAGAGCAGATAGTAAGTACAGCAAGTAAAGCACAATTTACCAATGTTGTAATAACTTCCGCTACCTGATAAGCTGAGAGGGAAATGTCATTATTTCTCTTTTGTTTATATTATCTATATGGAACGCCAACAAATAATATATAAAGCTCATAAGTCTAGGTTTTTGCTTAGTACCTTACTCTTTATTTGGAAGATGCAAACAAAGATATAATTTAAGATCATGATTAATAAGAATATGGCCTGAAAATTAGATTATTAAGAATGACTGAATCTTCTTCCATTAGACTAATTTCTTTCCTATTAATTTCTTCCTTCATAATTTCCCTTGGCCAAAGTTTAATAAAACTCTCTAACCTTATCAAGAAAAACTAAAATGTCTAAAGAAATTAGCATAGGTTATATGTACCATTTCTACAATTTCAAACTTAAGTAGATTATTTTGATGCCTATTTCACTAAATGTAACTAATACTGTACATCACATGCATGTGCACGCGCGCACACACACACACACACACACACACACACACACACACTCTCTCTCTCCCTCCATCAAAAAAGTACATATTACTCCCAAAGCCATGGCTGAAAATCACCAACTGTCCTTCATCAATACATTTGTGATTGACAGAAAAGTCGTCTTCAACTGCTATAGAATTCACTTAAAAGAGTAACAGTTGGGTTTGGTTTTTTGTTTGTGTTTGTTTGTTTTTTGTAAAGACGGGGTCTTGGTATATTGCCCAGACTGGTCTCAAATTCCTGGCCTCAAGTGATCCTCCTGCCTTGGCCTCCCAACGTGCTGGGATTACAGATATAAGCCATTGCACCTGGCCAAGTTAGGTTTTAATTCTTGATGGACTCATGATGTAGCCCTCTTTTGATATATTATCACTTTCATTTAATAATTCAGCAAGCATTTACTTAATATCTATTAAGTGTCATACCATGTGCAAGATGCTGGGGATGCAAAGACAATCAAGACAAGGTTCCTGAAAGCAGAGGCTGATTGTAAAGGCAAATGGATCCTTTTCTGTCTTCACCTTGTCTCACCTGTCCTTCACCTTCTTCCCAATGACTATACCCTTACTCTTGAAACTATCTATTCTCACAGGTTCCATGACATCACAGTCTTCCAGCTTTCCTCCTAGTTCACTGATCACTATTCTCAATCTTTTCTGCCAGCTCCTCTTCTATCAAATCTCTAGATGTTAGAACTCCCTAGCCCTTGCTTGCACTCTTTCCCTTGGATTGTTCCATCTCCTCCAGTAGCTTTGAATATCATGACATGATGACTGCCCCCCAGTTTGTGTCTGCAGCCTATCCCTTCCCTCTGAGTTCCAGAGGGCTTACAGTACCTCCATTTGTATTAACACAAACACTTCAAATTTAACAGGTCTAAGACAAATTTCAACCCTCACCTCTCACTACCACCAAATTGTTTCCTGCAGTTTTCCCCATTTTAATAAATGGCACCACCATTCTCTCAGTTTTTCAAAAACTAGGAGTCACCTTTGATTCTACATTATACCTCACTCCTCATGTCCAATCCATTGGCAAGCCAGTCAATTCAACCAAAGTATGTTTCCAATCTTCCAATTTCATTCCATCTTCATCATCAACATCCTAATCCAGGTTTTGACCTTGTTCATTGCAGAACCTTCTAATTTATCTTCATGCTTCTAATCTTGCCCCACTATAAATTATTTTCATTGCAATAACCAAAGTAAGCTTCTAAAAATGTAAATGGGATTATATCTACCATCCGTTTATTACACTTAAATCATTTTTCATTACATAGAGATTAAAATCCAAACTCTACACAGCAAGGTACCGTATAATCTGGCCTCTGCCTTCCCTCCAACCCTGTCTTGAACTTATTGTTTTCCTGCCGCCCTGGCCTTTGTTAAGTTCCATGAACAGTACAAAGTCTTTCATGTTTTAGGCTGTTTGCTCAATGTGAAATGTCATACTAATCTCATTCCTTCTTAGAGATCTTGCCTTAGTCTGTTTTGTGTTGCTATAAAGGAATACCTTGACGCTGGGTAAATTATAAAGAAAAGAGGTTTATTTGATTCAGAATTCTGGCTGGCTGGCAAGTTCAGGACTGGACATCTGCATATGAAGAGGATCTCAGGCTGCTTCTATCCATGGGAAGAAATGAAAGGGAGCCGATATCTGCAGAGATCACATGGCAAGATAGGAAGCAAGAGACAGGGGAGGTGCCAGGCTCTTTTTAACAATGAGCTCTCAAGGGAACTAACAAGAATAAGAATTCATTCACCCCCAAAGAAGAGCATTAATCTATTCATGAGAGATCTAGTCAAATTTCAACATGAGGTCTAGAAGTAACAAATATCCAAAACCACAGCAGATCTCAATATGAAGTCCTCAAGGAGGTCCTCTCCAATTACTCGTTTTCAAAATCCCTTACCCCTTATTTTCTATTATGGCACTCTGTTTACTTCCTTCAACAAACTTCAAGAAGCCCAATTTAACTTATTTGTTTGTTCTAAATTTCTACTACTAAAATGTAAATTATAAGAATATAAGAACCACTAATATGTTGCTTACCATTCTAGCACAAGCACCTATCATAAGCTAGCACAGAGTAGATAATAAATACCTGCCATATAAATATATTGAAATGTCTCCAAGACTCCTCCCACCTCTTCCTATCCATGAATGGTATACCACACCCTTCTGAGTGTGGTGAAGTCAGCACTTTGTCTTGATAAATATTCTTGAATGCTACACATTTTATAATGTAGACTTTCAGATTATAGATTTTATTATTATTATTATTATTTTGAGATGGAGTCTTGCTCTGTTGCCAGGCTGGAGTGCAGTGGTGCAATCTCGGCTCACTGCAACCTCCCTCTCCCGGGTTCAGGCGATTCTCCTGCTTCAGCCTCCCAAGTAGCTAGGACTACAGGCGCACACCACCACACCCAGCTAACTTTTGTATTTTTAATAGAGACGGGGTTTCACCATGTTGGACAGGATGGTCTCTATCTCTTGACCTCGTGATCTGCCTGCCTCGGCCTCCCAACAGATTATAAATTTAACATTCTAAAATGTCCATAAAAATATCAAATCAGATGAACTTCCCAAGAAATCTATAAACATTAAAAAAAACATAAAAGACTTATAAGTCATAGCATCTAGGAAGCTCTCAATACATGTTGAAAAAATAAAAGAATTCCATTCTTTGTCTTCATCATTTAAAATCTCCAATTGATAAATATTTGTCCACAATCAGCTTCAGGTTTAGGCTCACCAAAAGTATCTATTAATACAATTCAGAGAATAAAATTCTCATAGGATTGTTTCTCTGTAAATGTCCAGATGTCAACCTGAAGAAGTATACTTTGTCCTTAAGGCTTTTAAATTTTCCACAAATGTTTCTTTACATACTAGCAAAATAGTTATCACTACAATATCTCAGTATTCACAGTGTTCTAAAAATTACAAATACAGTTAAAGCCACAAAGGTATTATTTTTATAATATTATCCTAAAATAAAAACAAAGTCACAAACCAAAACGTTTTGCTCACTTTCCATAATTCTAAAGAATACACCATCTCTTCTCCAGCATTAATAAAAATGGCTACAACATCTCATGAGATGAAGCAGATTTCTGTTCACCAAGGTCCAACCGTACTCGGACTCAGCAAAAATGTCACCAATCCAATTAATGAAATGCCTCAATTAATAATGGGCAAAAAGGTTTTAAAAGGAAATTTAAAAACTTTCTATATTCTACCACATTTAATACATGACTTAATCCAAGCTTGACAAGAAGAAAAAGAACTATAGATTAAATTTTATTGAATTTATTTGCCCTCAGTGGCTTTTCTCAATAGGCCTTTTAGAATCAATCTTAATGAATGTGTCACTTTGCAACACAGCCACATAATGTGGCATTGTTGATTGACATATATTCAACTGTGAAGATTAGGATAAAGTAAAAGCCTGCAGTGTTTTTTAAATGAGACAAAATGATACTTACATAAAAAGAAGATTGCTAGGAAAGATAGTTTTATATTTATTGTATATTAAGTAGTTTTGCCGTGTGACAGACATTCTAAATACTCTATCCCAAAAGGCACCTATGCAAGATGGAGTCACTCTAGTTTGAATACCTCTGACAGATTCCTTGGTGTGGAAACTGTGTGGCATTTCATTCCATTCGGTCACACAGTGGACAGGTGATTTACTAGTGAAGATGTAGAACAAAGGGATTAGTACTGCCCTGGGTGTGTGTGTATGGTGGGGGGCGGGGGGTGGTGCTTGTTACTGACTATAGAGCAGGAAGAAAGTAGAGCATGGCTTCCTTTCATATCAGCCCAGGAAATGATGAATTTGGGGAAGCTTTTAAATTATAAATACATTCTTCCTATATTTGTGGTTGAGAGAAAAAGAGCTCAGCCGTTGGTATCCTTGAAGACGGT
The DNA here is from genome assembly GCF_000001405.40 of Homo sapiens. Taxonomy (NCBI): domain Eukaryota; kingdom Metazoa; phylum Chordata; class Mammalia; order Primates; family Hominidae; genus Homo; species Homo sapiens. Next base: position 13,956,740 of record NC_000006.12, on the reverse strand, counting down.
CATAATTAGTCTGGAAAACCTCCATGGAAAGAAGTGAAACTTACGACACTTTTGTAGTGAGCCAAGATACATTAAGCAGAGAAAGAACATTATAGAGTAGTCTAACGCAAAGGACAGGCCGGGAGCATTGGCTCACGCAGGTAATCCCAGCACTCTGGGAGGCCAAGACGGGTGGATCACCTGAGGTCAGGAGTTTGAGACCAACCTGGCCAACACGGTGAAACCCCATCTCTGCTGAAAATACAAAAATTAGCTGGGTGTGGTGGCATGCATCTGTAATCCCAGCTACTAGGGAGGCTGAGGCAGGAGAATCAATTGAATCTGGGAGGTGGAGGTTGCAGTGAGCGTAGATCACACCATTGCACTCCAGCCTGGATGATGGGAGCAAGACTCCATCTCAAAAAAACAAAAAAGGAAAAAAAAAAAAAGCAAAGAACAGTCAGGATATATTAGGCCAAAGCAGAGACAGTGTGCAGCAGAAGCTAAAAACAGACAGCTGGTCACTATTACAATAGCCAATAGCCAAGATTTGGAATCAAGTGGCCATCAACAGATGAATGGATATAAAAATGTGGTAGGTATACACAATGAAATACTATTCAGCCCTAAGCAAGAATGAAATCTTGTCATCTGCAGCAATATGAATAAGTCTGAACGACATTATGTGAAGTGAAAGAAGCCAGGCACAGAAAGAGAAGTACTGAACGTTCTCACTCATATGTGGGAGCTAATAAAAAGTTTTAGCCCATGGAAATGTTAAATATTATGTAAAACTGTTGGAAAGAATCAAATTTCTGAATTTGAAAACCATATATTTTCATACCTAATAAAGGTATGAAAATGGGGAGGGCATAGAGATAGGGTCTTGCTATGTTGTCCAGGCTGGTCTTGAACTCCTGGCCTCAAGCAATCCTCCCACCTCAACCTCCCAAAGTGCTGCAATTACAGGTGTGAGCCACACTGTACCTGGCCTAATAAAACTTTTAAAAAATGGTACCATGGTGGATCATAAAGCTGCAGACAGAGACCACTCATACAATTTACAATAACAGTACAACTGAGACATGGAAACATTCTGCCATGGAGCACATAATGCATCAAGGGCCCTGTGGTTGCTGTGCAACTGTTAACCAACACCAGCCATGGGGCTCCTCCTGTGTACCCACAGGGCCTAAGTCCAGAAAGACTGAAACACCAAGTATGTTAAAAAGCCATTATTTCATGGTGATACTTAAAAAACAAAATGAACTCCTTTGGAAGATGTGAGGAACATAACCCACTCTGAAACCAAATAACCAAGGGAAAGACACAAGAATTTATTCTGCCTTTTCTTTATATGCAGCTTCCTTTCTGTTATGCCTTTAAAGTAACCAAATAATTGATGAGGTAAAATTCTTTTTATAGAAGGATTTCAACCAATGATGGAATTGTATTACTGTGTAATCCTTAGTACAATAATCAATCTAGATCAAGAGTTGGCAGATAACTCCCAGTAGGTCCAAATCTAATCTGGTAAATGAAGTTTTATGGGCACGTAGTTGTACCCATTCATGCACATCCCGTCCAACGCTGCATTCCTACTACAATGACAGAGACCATATTGGCCCTCAAAGCCAAAACTATTTACTATCTGGCTCTTTACATAAAAAGTTTACTGACCCCTAACCTACACAATAATTATCAATGGCTGCCAAAATCACAAAGCAAAAAACAGATAAGGAGGCGGATGACACACAGGTCAGGCTTACAACACCTGTGCTCACTGATGGGGCTTCACACAACAAAGGGAGGGACAAGGCAGCAGTTGCCTCCTGATGCCATGCAGCAGGAAGCGTAGAGCCCCTCCACCTTCACAGGCCTTCTTGCCAAAAATCTGAAAATATGATCAAACCTCAGGTTCTCATTACCTGTTCACAGGAAATACAGGGGACAGAAAAATGAATTAAAGTACATGGGGATGTAGTTAGTTAAAATTCTGACTGTGAGAAATTCTACAGGACAAAGGATCCAGTTTCTTCAATAAATAAATTGCAAGGAAAAAAAGAAGGGTGAACCCACAGACCAAGGATGCCCAATCTTTCAGTTTCCTGTGCCACACTGTAAGGGAGAATTGTCTTGAGCAACACATAAAATACACTAATACTAATGATACCCAAAGAGCTAAAAAAAAAATTTAATTTAATTTAAATTTAAATTTAAAAATCCCATAATGTTCTCAGAAAGTTTATGAATTTTTGTTGAACCACATTCAAAGCTGTCCTGGCAGCATGTGGCCCACAGGCCACAGGTTAGAAAAGCTTGCTATAGACTAAAAGCCTAAGAGATTTATTAGCTAAATACATGAGTAGTCCTTGTTTGGATTCTAATTCTAACCAACCAATGGGGAAGGGGAGAATTTACAAGACAATAAGGGAAATTTGAATACCAATATTTCATGACAGTAAGGAATTACTCTGCAATTGTTTTCTGGTGTGATAATGACATTGCAGTTATATTATTTAAAGGCAAGTCTCTTCAATGTTTTGAAGATACATACTGAGGTTTCACAGATGAAATAATATGACATCTGGGCTTTGTTTCAAAATAATCCAATGGGGAGGGGGGCAGATAAATGAAGCAAGATTGGCCATATGTTGATCACTGTTGAGGCTGAGTGATAAGTAAAAAGGGATTCATTATATCATTTTCTCTACTTTTGAATATGTTTAAACTTTTTCCATAATAAAAAGATAAAAATAAAATCATTAGCAAAGCTTTCTCTCTACTTTCCAACATCTGTGCTCATGGATGCTTTGTTTCTCCCCCTGCCCATCCACCATGTATATTCATTCATTAACCAAATGCCTACTGAATGTTTAGTACAGCATAAGCCCTGGGCTAGGTGCTGGCGATGGCCTCACCTTCAAGAAATATACAGTCTAGAGGGGGAGCCCATAAGGAACTCAGCCATTACCACGCTTGATGGTCAATGTCGCATGAGCAGGACCCACAGAGTGCTAAGGAATGCAGAGAAGGCGCATCTATGCCTTCCCATGTTCCTCATTCCCACTCCTTAATATTCTTTAACAGCATGGCTAATCTCTCCTGATTGTCTACTTTGCTCTTCTAAGGAGAAATTTCCTTTCTCTAAGTGGCCCTGACTTACGCCACTTTATAAGCCAGAGGCTTCACACTGCCTATTCCATGACTCGTGAATATAAAACACTGGACTCTTCCTCCACTCTGTTCCCTGCATGCCTTTGACTTCTGTGATAACTACCCTGACAGCCCCAAAATCCCATCCTCACCCAGTCTCTCCTACTTACCTCCTGCTCTATAGCCAGTAACAACTGCCACCACCCCTCTGCCCCCCACCATACACACACACCCAGGGCAGTACTAATCCCTTTGTTCTACATCTTCACTAGTAACTCACCTGTCCACTGTGTCACTGAATGGAATGAAATGCCACACAGTTTCCACACCAAGGAATCTGTCAGAAGTGTTCAAACTAGAGTGACTCCTTCTTGCCTAGGGGCTGAGTAAAATGAGGCTGAGACCTACTGGCTGCATTCCTAGGAGGCTAGGCTTTCTTAGTCACAGGATATTAACAGTTAAGGGAAGAAGTTAATAATGTTTATTGAACAGACCCAGGACTTAACAAACCCAGTAAATAACAGACCCAGGAAATGTCCTGATGTCCTGTCTTATGAACAAAAGCATTCTTAGTTTAAGTTTTGCAGTAACATTCCATCTCAAAAGGAAAAAAGAATAAGTTTTGCTTTAAAAATAATATTCCTGTGAAAGTAGTTACACAAAGATTAACAGTCCTTTGTCACAAGCCGTTGTAGTAGAGCACATCTCCCTACGACTTTTTGCTTTGTTATCTTATATATAAACAAGCATTGTACCTAACTAAGACAGATGTGTTCCTCCTCTCGCTTTTGGGAATGCCCTGGTCTCTCTGTGGAGTAGTCACCTTTTTATTCCCTTACTTTCTTCATGAACTTGCTTTCACTTTATTCTGTGGACTTGCCTCAAATTGTTTCCTGTGCAATATCTGAGAACCCTCTCTTGGGGTCTGGACTGGGACCCCTTTCCAGTAACATATTCTGTGATGAGCCATGAAGGGATGATACCGGAGAGACCCCCACTTAACCAAAGGAAAATCGTCTGCACAGCACCAATTGGCCGACTTTGGATAAACCGTAGGATACATTTCATCCCAGGTAAAGGACAAAGTTGGGTTAAAGACCCAACTCAGAAGGGTTAGCATCCCTCCCGAGACGTAAGGGGTTAGAGGGTCCTCTCAGTAAGGCCTCTTTTGGTCAAAAATGGATTTGACACTATGGGATGTTGACCGCTTTTCTCTGTGGATTAATCTGCCTTGAACTCTTTGCTGACAGCTGTGGGTGACAGGATTAGGCATGTACAGGATAGTGGGACAATGAGGAGCTTTCTCTCCCGCAAAGGGGGAAATGTGAGAGCTGACGGCCTGCTGGAGAAGATCTCTTCACAACTGACAAGCAGCTGCCTAGACTTTTGATTCAGTGTTGCTGCACTGGGTGGGTCTTTCCCTGGTCTCCCTGAGCTCCTCGCCTCCCAGCCCCACAACAGACAATGCTTTTCGCCCTTCCCTTTCCTCTCTCTCTCTCCTGTCTCTTTACTATCTTTTCTGTCTTGCAGGGCAACTGTCTGCTTTTCCATCTTGCCCAGAGACCACATGTTGAAACTCCTGGTTAGAGGTCATCCCACCCCACTTTAAGTGGATCAAAGATGACAGGCAGGGGCCAAAAGGGGCAAGTTTGAGCCTTGCCAGGTTGATGCTGGGTGATGAGTGGGGTGACTAGTATCTAAGTTTGTCATGTGTATTTTGCTCTGGACAAAATGGAAAATGTTCATTTGTTTCCCCCACATAGCCTGTTGGGTGGCATCTTGCAAAACTGAGAGTCTTTGCCTATGGGTCCACGAAATGGAAAAAGATGATTTTCTTTTATAATGTGGCTTGGACCCCACAGCTATGGGGCAACAAGCAAGACTATCAGAGCCACTCAGAGAAAGGTAACCCAGAAACCTGGCATGCTGGCAAAAAGGTAGGAATTTCCTACCAGTCAGGCTTCTGGCCTGTCTGTGAAAACTGGTTAAATGAATGGTCAAAATCACTTGCATTATGAGAGCTTTTAGCCTTGGTGTGTAATAACTAGGTAGGACATATACTTTTAGGGACAGCTAATGGCAGCTATGAGGGAGGAATACTCTGCTCTTGGCACACTGGGATCAGAGAAGCATGTTCTTGACCACCTGGAAGGTACGGAAATGTCCCCACCCCAACTGAGAGATAAGACTCCCATAGGGGATGGGCTAATTCTCTCTTTTTGGGGATCAAGGATCCAGTATAAAAATGGGGCTCTTAATTTTGGAGGATCTGTTTTGCCTTCCAACCATGCCTGCTTATTAGGCCCTAGAAACTGCATGCTTTCCTGACCCTGTTCCTTGAAGGTCTTCTGCCTGAAGCCAGTAATCCAGTTAAGAAACTTAAAACTGGCAAATAAAAAATATTATAACTATTAGATCTTCTTCCATCTCTCCGTGTATTTATATGTGTTGTGTGTGTGATGTTTACATATGAAAGAGCTCTGGTTAACTGACTTAAAGAAAAATAAGTGGCTGGGCACAATGGCTCACACCTGTAATCTCAGCACTTTGGAAGGCTGAGGTGGGCAGATCACCTGAGGCCAGGTGTTCAAGACCAGCCTGGCCAACATGGTGACACCCCGTCTCTACTAAATATACAAAAGTTAGCCAGGTGTGGTGGCACACGACTGTAGTCCCAGCTACTCAGGAGGCTGAGGCAGGAGAATCACTTGAACCCAAGAGCCAGAGATTGCAGTGAGCTGAGATTGCATCACTGCACTCCAGCCTAGGTGACAGAACAAGACTCTATCTCAAAAAAAATAAAGGGGGAGTGCAGGTGTGGTGGCTCATGCCTGTAATCTCAGCACTTTGGGAAGCCAAGGCAGGCAGATTACCTGAGATCAGGAGTTCAAGACCAGCCTGGCCAACATGGTGAAGCCCCATCTCTACTAAAAATACAAAAATTAGCCATGTGTGGTGGTGTGTGCCTGTAATCCCAGGTACTCGGGAGGTTGAGGCACGAGAATTGTTGAACCCGGGAGATGGAGGTTGCAGGGAGCCAAGATTGTGTTATCACACTCCAACGTGGGAGACAGAGCAGGACTCTGTCAAAAAAAAAAAAAAAAAAAGTACCTGTTTTGTCAGAAAAATAAAAACTTTAATGTCATTTAGTTCACATGACTTTTAGACATTTAGTCTAAATTAGGCAAGCTGAATACTGTCCTTGGTAAATGTGTTAAGGTCATAAACTGCTTCTATGACATTTTTTATAATTATTTGACTTGTCTGCTTTACAGCGAATTCCAGGTAAGGCCTTGAGATGTATGGAATTAGCCTGGTCCCCTGACTAGGCTGGGAAGGTCAGACTTTACAGCTCTGTCCTTGTCTTGGGCTCTACAATCTGATACAAGGTTAAAATCGCTCACTCACCAAGTTTTTCACCAAAAATAAAAGTTGCTACGAGTTAACATTGTAACATATGTAATTGAGACTATTGGAGCAAGGTATGTAAGAAAAGTAGAATGTATTTTTTGTAAAAGCTTATAAAAAGACATGGGAATGTGAGAAGTTTCTTGCCTAGTTCAGAGGGCTGAATAATTATTTTAAGTTAGATAGAATAAAGCTAAAAATTTGAGCAAATGGTGGAAAGTTTGTGAAAAATTAATCTTGTAAAAGAAATTCTGTGTGTGAACAAATTGACTAAAATTAAGAGGGTATTGTTTAGTTTTTCCATAAATTGAATACTGGAAAAATGCACAACAGGGTTTTCTTAGAGCACTGATCTACTCTTCAGCAAAATTTTTTTTAAGTTTTAAAACTTTTATAAGTTTAACGTTGGCACTGTATGTTTACCTATTCGTTGGTACAATTTACATCAAGTTTTATACTTACCCATTTTTGTGAAGATATCGTACACAAAGATACATATTCAATAACTGAGAAACAAGTAAAACTTCTGATCTATACTTTCAGGTTTGTTCGATCATGATAACTTCTGATAAGAATCATCGTCATATCAGTTTTTCACCTCTTCCAGAAGGACATCATCATTTTATCTAAGAGTTCACTCTGGGTTTTACTGCAGAACACAGATTCCCTCAATTGCTTTTTTCTTGCAAGTGTCTTTTTCCGTAATTTTTTCTTATAACCAGCCTTTCTCGTCAACCAAAGGCCAGAATGAAGTCAAAGAAACCTATAGATGACAGCTTTCACAGTCTTTCTCTTGCCTTTTTGTGTACAAATGAATGTTAGAGATCTGACTGGCAGCTTCAGGACACTTGGAAGCAAGGGGGCCACTCTATTAAAGATTACCGCAGGATGCCCACATGTCAGGTTTCTGACAGATGTGGTAAGTCTGGGAGCAGAGGAAACAACTGGTGTCTGAATATGACTAAAACGTCCAGTGGACAATGCAGAAATAAGAGAGGCATTCTTGACACACAGTTTTGGTAGGCTGAAGATGCCAAAATATTCAGGGGCTATAAGATTCCTGAAGCTGCTCTCACTGCACTGGCAAAGGCAGTGGCAGCCATCTTGCCATCAACAAAAAATTTAAAGGGTTATAAAAGGTTTGTGAAAATCTTACTTTATGGTCAAACTGATTAGGAGTGAGTAGATTTTGTCCGTATGATTTTATTAAAAATTGGATTTGACATTAATAGTACATTAATGCAAAAGTGAAATTTGGCTTTCTCTTTTGAACAAGATTTTCATGTAATATTAAAAGATAAAAGATTTTTGTTTGTCTTTTGAATAAACTAAAGAAAAAAAAAGAAAGGAGAGAAAAGAGACATTATTTGGAAAGCTAACTCTTCCCTCTATCAATGGGTAAAGGTTTTTGCCTTTTTAAAATCTTTAAGTTGTCATTTTGGCTAAATAAATGACTTACAGTGACCTGAGATTCTATTTTATAACATAAAGTGTTTTACACCTTTGCTATTTAACAAACATTCCCAAATCAAACTAGGACTTAAGTAGGACCTAAAGACTTAATAAGTCTTTCCTGACTTGATAATCCTTTTAGATATTAGGTCCCCTGAAGTCCAATAATGGCATATTTGACTTATTTGACATACTAAAATCATACAGGAAGTACTGTCAAATACAAAATGGCATCTGACATTTTTTGGGTTATTTAAATGTGTTATTGGTATGTGTTCCAAAATTATGCAAAACTACTATAATTCTGGTATAACTTAGTATATGTTATCATTAATAGTTATAATTGTTATCTTAAATTATTGTGTGCCACAAGGGGCCAAATTTCCTTGTCAATTGTGTCTCTGACTGTAGCTGCCCTAAGACTTTTTGTCATCTACAAGCAATTGTCTTGTTTTGATTCTCTTCAAAAGGCAGTTTATAATCAGTTATAGGACTCTGACAAGTACTCTTATAAAGCAGGACTTTCACAGCTTTGAAATGTATGCCATTAAAACGAAGAAAAACTTCCAAGACTCTTGGAAAACTAATGTATTCATAAATATTGAGAAAAACAGGAATTGCATAGACAACTAATAGAAGACCAAAATAATCTATTCATGACTTTTTGCCTTTGTTTTGTTTTTCAGAGTCAAGAAAACTTTTATTTTGAGCTATTTACAGCTTTCAACAATTGAGTATAATATACTACTGTAAACAAAATTTAGAGCACATTTCTTTCTCTCTACCTGATTTCTCCCAAATTTGGAAACTATTTGTGAGTATTTTTAACTTATGGTGATATAGCTATTTACATAAGTCCAGTAAGAATTTTTCCTTTGTGACAAGACACAATTGGAGACACTGGTTATTTTACCAAGGCTTTGACTGGAATGACTGACATGCTTTCAAATGTAAACAAACTGGTTTAAGGAATCAAAATTCATTTATAGAGCCAATTAAAGCCCCTAAGAAAACTGACCTCATATCTTGAGCCTTGTACAGGGCTCCTGACCTGTAGCAAGTAAAGAATGTCACTTTCTGACAGGCCCAGGAGCCCCAAATATCTTGGGACATCCAGAGGAGAGAAACTTATCCAACTCATATTTGCAGACACACATAAATCCATGACTGGTCTCAAGGCTTTAAAAAGTCTAATCTAAGATTAGATTATAGAACACAGTTCCATCAAAGCCAAAAGAGCCTATATGGCAAATAATTATTCTTGCTTCACTTTATACAAATAACCAGGCCACATACAATAAGACTAAAATTTATTTTGCCAACAAATCAGTCCACATACAATAAGACTAAAATTTATTTTGCCAACAAATCAGTCCTACCATGGTTTGTTTAAATAAAAATAGGGACTGGAGAGAGAAAAATTATGTTTCACAAACTATGGTACACCTGTTACCAGACTCTAGTCTCATCCATTGTTTTTGAGTTTTTTCTGCAATTTAGACTGACCCTGCTTATTCCTGTGAACCAACCAGTGATCTCTGGCTGCTGCTCAAAAGAAACATGAGGCATGATTAACATAAAAATCTGAATCACTATTCTAATTCTGGACACATAATGAAATCAGCTAGCGACCCCATATCAGCTTGGTTCCCACAATTGCCCAGTTCATAGAAAGCTCTTATTTAATTTTAGACAATTTTACTGATTTCGCTTTACAGTTGTAGAATATATTGCTGTTGTACTCTTTGTATATAATTCAGGATAAGCTTACTCAATGTTTTCTTAAATACTTACTAATCTTCCAGGTATCATCTTTCATCAGGACTCAGAGTTTTGAATGACCTTCACCATACTAACACTTTATGACTAAACTCCTCCCAACTCTAAATACAAGAGACCCTAAAAATTGTTAGGCAGGAATATCATTGCCCCTGTTCAGCCTGAAGAAGCTACAGAAGATAAATTTCTATCCCTCTGCAACCTTCAGGATTAAGGGTCCCCTTATAAATGGGAGGGGGGAAATGTGTCAGAGGCATTCAAACCAGAGTGACTCCATCTTGAATTAGGGCTGGGTAAAATGAGGCTGAGACCTACTGTGCTGGATTCCCAGGAGGCTAGACATTTTTAGTCATAGGATATTTACAGTTAAGGGAAGAAGTTAATAATGTTTACTGAACAGACCCAGGACTTAACAAACCCAGGAAATAACAGACCCAGGAAATGTCCTGATGTCCTGATATCTTATGAACAAAAGCATTCTTAGTTTAAGAATAAGTTTTGCAGTCAGGTACGGTGGCTCATGCCTGTAATCCCAACACTTTGGGAGGCCAAGGCGGGTGGATCACCTGAGGTCAGGGGTTTGAGACCAGCCTGTCCAACATGGTAAAACCCCATTTCTACTAAAATACAAAAATTACCCAGGCATAATGCACATGCCTGTAGTTCCAGCTGCTCAGGAGGCTGAGGCAGGAGAATTGCTTCAACCCAGGAGGCAGAGGTTGCAGTGAGCTGAGATTGTGCCACTGCACTCTAGCCTGGGCAACAGAGCAGGACTCTATCTCAAAATAATAATAATAATAATAATAATAATAATAATAATAATAATGTTTTGCTTTAAAGATAATACAGATTCTTTCCAAAGTAGTTACACAAAGATTAACAATACTTTGTCACAAACCCTTGTAGTAAAGCACATCTCCCCATGACTTTTTCCTTTGTTATATATAAATAAGCATTATACCTAAGGCAGACGTGTTTCTCCTCTTGCTTTTGGGAATGCCCTAGTCTCTCTATGGAATAGCCACCCTTTTATTCCCTTACTTCCTTAATGTACTTGTTTTCACTTTACTCTGTGGACTCACCTCAAATTCTTTATTGCACAAGATCCAAGAACCCTCTCTTGAGGTCTGGTTTGGGACCCCTTTCTGGTAACAGATCCACTGGTGTAATCAGAATGAATGGGATGCCAAAAAGGCAGAGGAAAACTGTCAAGATGAAATTAAGGCACAGCAGTAATGGAATATAACAAGGGAATAAACATTTTACTGTTTAACACAAAAAATAGCATAAACTAATAGGTCTTAACACAAATAAGAGAAGAGGTCTATGTCAATCTTTGAAATTGTTAAAACATTGTAGTGACAAAAATTTTTTTAAGGTTCATTTGTTTATCCATGTTGGTTGTTTTGTTGTTGTTGTCATGTTGCTGTTACTATATTTTTGCCTAACCTATAGCATCACACTAAACACTTCAGACAGAAGTGTTTAAAACAGAAAGCTCTGCAAAATCATCTAAACGGGCTCTGAGGGGCACTGCTGAAGTACCATCATCTCCTCATAAGGGCAATTCCAACGTTTAAGGTTATTTGCTAAAAGAATGCCCTGGCAACGAAGTGGCAGTTTCACATTTGATACATACATTTTGTGATGACAACATCTGAGGGTAAATCCCTAAAGTGGGCCACAATAATTTTTGGCTAAATCAAGCCCAGCTCTCTCTAATGTACAGACTCTGAGATCTTGAGTAAATCACTTAAACTTTCTGGGTCATGGCTTTTTCATCTGAGAAATTAAGATTCTGGGCTTGATGGCTAAAGACCTTCCAGCTCCAACATAACAGGGCTCTATAACTAAGAGCAACCTTTCCACATGTATTGGGGTGTTAGCAGGAATTCAAGTGACAACTGAGGGCATTTCCACCCTAAGAAAGCAAATCTCTAGTAACACTCTTATGTTCTCACTCCTCAATGTTTATTAAGCCCGGCTAAATGTTCTTCTTAGGATCAGGCACTTAGTAAGCAGCTTAGCAATCTTAACTGTTATTAATGTAAATCACTTCTGAGGAAAGCAAATTGCTATATAACAATATTAAAATACATACTGATGATCAGAGTCATTTGAAGTCAAAAACATCTGGGTTGGAATCCCAACTCCACTGATCACTGACTATATGACCCTGAACATGTTATTTAAAATATCTGTGCTTCTGTCTCTTGATTGTAACATAGAGACAGTACTGACCTCACAGGTGTATTGAAAGGATTAAGTACAAATAACAGATATAGCACACCTGGTTAACTAAACATTCGTTCTTTCTCAGCCAGTGCTGGACATTAAATTCTGATAGGTATGCCTAATTTCCACCCCATTTCTGGTTTCATCCTGAATTTCCATGCATAAATTACCTTTCCTTGCCCTGCATTATTGACAAAGACCCTCTCCTTGACCAAACTTTAGTCAGGCTCCTCTGAGTCCTCTTTTCAACTAGGCCTCCACTTTGACCTATACAAACTGCAACTTTCAGCACAACCCATTTCATCAACCCTCCACACTAAGACATTTGAACAAACACTAGCTCAGGTTCTATCAGCCCAAGGCCATGTCCCTAGGATGACAAAACCACCTCCTTAACATGCCTACCTGAGAAAGCTCAGAGCTTTCTCAAATTATTTCTTAAGCCAAAATAACTTACTGTTGGTTCTAGCCAACACCTGATAATAGGTCCCTGACCTTCCTTTTCTAGAGCATTTACTCCTGAAAGCTTGCAACTGTAAATCTTTTCCTTGTACCTTTGAGATGTAAATCCTCTACCACCCAGAAACAGTTCCTCAAGGACCTGGGAGCCACCTCTTTGAAATGTAAACATCCAGAGAGATACCTCTCCTGTTGCCCAGTTCTTCTTGTAGGAGGGTAAGAGCCTAACTGGTGGGCATCTTGTCCCAAATTGCAAAGCTATATTTCCTGTCCTAAAGACACAAGAACCAATTTGCACAACTATATTTCCTGTCCTAAGGATACAAGAAGTTTGTTTCTCCTCCAGATAAACACCAATTAACAAACCCACACTGCCTAACTACACATACAAATCACCCTTAATGTCTTTTAGTACCTTTTGTTTAGTACATCCCAGCATTTAAAAGGGCTCCTGTCTTTTGTTCAGTTCAGTTAAGCTCCGGTAACACTGAGGTCTCTCCCCTACTGAAGTAGTACTGAATAAAATATGTCTTATCATTTTTAAAAGTGTCGGCTGCAAAACTTTAACATTATTCACTTAGCAAACATTTGTTGAATACTTCCCATGTTCTAGGTGCCATACAATGATACTAACAATGAGCAAGACATTGTCACCTTCCTCAAAAAATTTGTAATTCACAGAGGGGGACAGGCATGTATGCAAAATATAGCAGTTCCAAGGCGGTAAGATAAGTACCAATGGTACAAAGTTGTAACTAGCATCTCAAAATTCACTTACCCAGTAGCATACATGATTTACTGTTAAAAAAAGAAAGTCCATTTTTATATCTCCATCAAAAAAACATGGACTTCAGCCAGGCACAGTGGCTCAGGCCTCTAATCCTATCACTTTGGAAGGCTGAGGCAGGAGGATCACTTGAGCCCAGCAGTTCAAGAACAACTTGGACAACACGGTGAGACCCTATTTCTACAAAAAGAAAAAAAAAAAAAGCAGGAACCACCTCTATGCACATGGTAATAACACCTTACATTGTATAGCATTTTATTTTTACCAAGGGTTTTGATATATATGTTATTAAATATTTTTTATTTGGATGAGTAAAAGTATACATTAACAGTACTTTATAATTTAGAAACTACTTTCACCATTTAGATAAGGTAGCCATTAGTATTCCCTGAATGTAATTAAATAACTATAGCTCTATCAGGGCTGTTTGTATCTACTAATCTACCAAATAAGAATTTCAGAAAAGACAAAGAATAAGGTAAGATTTTCTTTCTCTGGTTGCAGAACTCTGTGAATTTAACTAAGATCATTGAATGCTACACCTACAATGGGTGAATTTTATGGCGTATAAGTTATACTTCCATAAAGCCCTAACAAAATAAAATAAAAATAAGAACGGAACAGAAGATGAGAACATTAGTGAATTGAAACATAGGTCATTAGAAAGTTTCCAAACTAAAGAGGAAAAAATACAATGGAAAATAGGAAAAAGAGTTTAGGAGTCAAATAGAACAGGGTGAAAGAGTCTAAAGGATATAAAATTGTACTTCTAGGAGCAGAGGAAAGTGATCAGACCAGAAGAAATACTATTTGATGAGATAGCTGCTGAGAATATTCTAAAACTGGCCAGGGGTGGTGGCTCACACCTGTAATCCCAGCACTCTGGTAGGCTGAGGCAAGTAGATCAGTTGAGGACAGGAGTTTGAGATCAGTCTGGCCAAAATGGTAAAATCTTATCTCTACTGAAAACACAAAAATTAGCCAGGTGTGGTGGCACGTGTAGTCAGTCCCAGCTACTCAGAAGGCTGAGGCAGGAGGATCACCTAAGCCCAGGAGGCAGAGGTTGCAGTGAGCTGAGATCACACCACTTGACTCCAGCCTGGGCCACAGAGCAAGATTTTGTCTCAAAAAAAATTTTTTTTAATTAAAGAATATTCTAAAACTGATTCAAGAACCTCTATGATCCCCAAGCAAGATAGACAGTAAAGAAAAAGTGTCTCAGCATATCTTAACAGAACCCTTCAATACCAAACACAAAGAAAAAATTTTTAACACACAGAGGAAAAAGGCACATCACCTCTAAAGGACCAAAGTGAGACTGACAGCCAATTTCTCAACAAAAACAATGGAAAACAGAGGACAATGAAATTACATCTTTAAAGTACTGAAAGAAACTGACAACCTAGAATTCCACATGCAGCAAAAATATGCTTCAAAAATTAAGACAAAATAGTTTCAAACAAGTAAAAATAGAAAGAAATACTAAAGGGAGTTCTTCCAGCAGAAAGAAAATAATCCCAAAGGGAAACACAGACTTACATGAAGGAATGAAAATAAATGATAAATATAGATAAATACTAACTGTATAAAACAGCAATAATGTATAATGTTATTTTATTCATGTGTGGAATTAAACTGATACAACGATTCCAAAAAGAGCAAGGGGTTTATAGAGTCAAAGTATTCTAATAACACTACACCATCACGGAAGGATTAAAATACTAATTTAAAGTATATTCATAAGTGAAAAATAGATGTTATAATCTCTAGGATAACAGTCAAAAGAGTAAAACACAATGTATAACTAACAAGAAAAGAGAGAAGAAAACTGAATTAAAATTTCTTTATTAATTTTTTTAAAGGCAAGAAAGAAAAAAAGAACAAAGAACAGATAGGACAGTTAGAAAACAAATAGTACAATGGGAAGTTTAAACCCAATTATATTATCAAGTACTTTACATGTAAATGAACTATTAGCTGCTCCAAAGACTGTCAGGTGAGATAAGTAAACAAAAGCCAGCTATATGCGGCTTATAAAAGAAACAACTAAAAATAGAGTCAGGAAATTTAAAGTATATAAGAAGATATACCATGCAAACACTAACCAACTAACAAAGGAGAGTTGGTATATACTACTATAAGACCTGTAGACAGTAAGTCAAGAACCATTATGAGAGCTACAGAGAGGAAAGGTGTCCAATACACCAAGGAATTATAACAATTATAAGTTTGTATATATCCAATAACATATCCTCAAAATATATACTTAAAAACTGACAGAATGAAAGGTAGAAAAATTCATCATCTCAGTGAGAGATTTTGCTTATCCTTCCCAGTAATTGACAGAACAAGCAGACTGAAAAATTGTAGATAGAAACTTTGATCAATACAATTAATGAATTTGACCCAATCTATGTGCACCAAATTCTGCAATTACAACTACAGATTGATTATATTGTATAGTCTATTCAAGTGCATGTCTATCACTCAGCAAAAATGATCATATCCAGGCCATAAGAATAGTCTCAAAAAAAAAGACTAAAATGTTAATAGCGTGTTCTTTGACAATAGCTGGATTAAGCTAGAAATCAACAAAAAGATTTTTAGAATATCCTAAACCGTTGGAAATTAAGTAATAAATGTCTAATAACTTATGGTCAAAGAAAAAACACATGGATATTTTTAAATATTTTGAGCAGAAAAAATGTGACAGAATTTAAGAGCATACTATTAAAGCCATGCTTGAGGAAAATGCAGAGCTTCGAATGCATATGTTAGAAAAGTTGAAAATCAATAATCTAAGTAGCATTTTCACAAAGTTAGAAAAAACAGAAAACCTAAAGCCAAAAATATTAGGAAAGAACAAACTATGAACAGAAATGAATAAATTAGAAAATAAGCATACAATAGCAAAAAAAAGTCAAAATAAGTTCACTGATAAAATAATAAATTTGATAAACCCCAGGCAAGACTGATCAAGGGGGGAAAAAAGGCACAGATTGTAAATATCAAAAATGAAAAGGGAGGCACTATTCAGCTACTTACACCAATCTCTCTCCTAAACATAGACAAATTCTCAAACAAAATTTCACTAAATTGAGTCCAACAAAACACTAAAATAATAGCACATCAGTTGGATTTATTATAGAAATGCAAAACTGTTCTAACATTTTTTTAAAATGTGATTACCATATTGACAAAATAAAGGAGGAACAAATCATATCATCATCTCGATAAATGCGGAAAATCATTTGCTAAAACTCAACACATGTTCATGATTAAAATATCTATTAATTAGAAATAAGAGATCTTCTTAATCGATAAAAAGGTTTCAACAACACTTGTAAGCAAGAGCCATATTTTAAATATTGAATGCTTTCCCCCTGAAATTGGGAATAAGACAAAGTACATGCTATCACCATTTCTATTCAAAATTATAATTGAGGTCCTAGATAGAGCAATGAGGCAATAAAAAAAAGTGTAAGATACAAGAATCAGGCAAGAAAGAAACAAAGCTCTTTATTCATCACATACAGTGATGTACACAGAAAATCCAAATCATTCTACAAATAAGTTATTAAGATTAAGAAGTGAATGCAGCAAAATCCCTAGAATCAAGGTCAAGATACAAAAATGCATTTATGCCCGGGCACAGTGGCTCACGCCTGTAATCCCAGCACTTTGGAAGGCTGAGGCGGGTGGATCACGAGGTCAGGAGATCAAGATCATCCTGGCTAACAAGGTGAAACCCCATCTCTACTAAAAATACAAAAAATTAGCCAGGCGTGGTGGCAGGCGCCTGTAGTCCCAGCTACTCAGGAGGCTGAGGCAGGAGAATGGCATGAACCTGGGAGGCAGGGCTTGCAGCGAGCCCAGATCGCGCCACTGCACTCCAGTGTGGGCAACAGAGAGAGACTCTGTCTCAAAAAATAAAAATAAAAAAATAAAAATAAATACAAAATAAAAAAATAAAAACAAAAATGTATTTATATACACAAGAAACAAAAAATTACAAGGTGAAAAGATGGCATTTGCAATAACAACAAAAAGAACAAATCTAATGAAAGAAGTACAATACTACAGAGAGAACTTCAAAACATTACTTAGAGAAATTAAAGACAACATAATTAAATGGAGAGCTATATTGTGTTCATTGATTAGAAGACTCAATATTATAAAAATGTCAACTCTCCCAAACTGATCTACACAGTCAATGCAATTCCAATCAAAATCTATCAGGTTGTTTGTGGAAACTGACAGGATGATACTAAAATTTGTATGTAAACGCCAAACACTAAAAATGGGCTAAAAGAAAATCAAGACAAAAAACAAAACTGAAGAACTTATACTACCTGATATCAGGATTACATCAATGTAAAACACTTTTTGGTTTTGTTTTTTTGAGACAGGGTCTTGCTCTTGTTGCCCAGGCTAGAGTGCAGTGGTGCAATCTTGGCTCACTACAACCTCTGCCTCCTGGGTTCAAGCAATTCACATGCCTCAGCCACCCAAGTAGCTGGGATTACAGGCGTGAACCACCACACCTGGCTTATTTTTGTATTTTTAGTAGAGACGGGGTTTCACCATGTTGGCCAGGCTGGTCTCAAACTCCTGACCTCAGGTGATCCACCCACCTCGGCCTCCCAAAGTGCTGGGATTATGTAAGACACTTTATTAGACAAATACATCATAAGGACAAAATACAGAATCCAGACAGAGATTCACAAGCATATGATTACTTATTTTTATGAAAAGAATGCCACTGCAATTTAATGGAGAAGAGATAATATTTTCAATAAATAACGCTGGGTCAACAGGATATTTACATAGATAAAAATCATTTTGACCCTTACCTCACACCCTACACAAAAATCAATTCAAAGGGGTTATAGATCTAAATGTGAAAAGTAAAACAATAAAACTTCTTGGTAGCATAGGAGAATATCTTCATGATATTGGAGCAGGCAAAAAATTCTTAAAGAAGACACAAAAAGCACTAACATTAAAAGAAGATGTATAAATGAGTTCATTAAAATTAAACACTTCTCATTGAAAAATTATAAGAGTTAAAAGCAAGCTACAGTGTGGAAGAATTCTGTAACACATACATTGCACAAAGGACTTCTATCTAGAAAATATAAAGAACTCCATAAAAATCAATAAGAAAAAGGCCAGGCGCAGTGGCTCACGCCTGTAATCCCAGCACTTTGGGAGGGCGAGGTTGGCAGATTACGAGGTCAGGAGATTGAGACCATCCTGGCTATCACGGTGAAACCCCGTCTCTACTAAAAAAAAAAAAAAAAAAAAAAATACAAAAAATTAGCCAGGCATGGTGGCGGGCGCCTGTAGTCCCAGTTACGCAGAGACCGAGGCAGGAGAATGGCGTGAACCCGGTAGGCGGAGTTTGCAGTGAGCGGAGACTGCACTCCAGCCTGGGCGACGACAGAAACTCTGTCTCAAAAAAAAAAAAAAAAAAAAAAACAGTAAGAAAAAGATAATCTTTTTTAATGGACAAAAATATTTGAACTGGCATTTCATGGAAGAGGCTATCCAAATGGCTAATAAAACATGAAAAAATGCTCAATATCACTTATTAGGAAAGTACAAATAAAAACTACAATGAGATATCATTTTTCATCTGCTACTATGACTGGCAATACCAACTATGAGCAAGAATGAGAAACAACTAGAACTTTCATACACTGATGTTGAGAATGTCGCCGATATAACCACCTGGACAACTGTTTGGCAAATGTTTGATAGCAGTATCACAGCTAAATCATACATATAACCCATGACCTTTCTACTTCTACACAGATGCACAACAGAAATGCTCACATACACATGTATAAGAATGTTTATAGCAGCACTATTTGTAATAGGTGAAATGGGAACAACCCAAATGTCTATGAACAGTAAATGATTTTAAAAATTGTGCTACAGGCAGCAATGAAATACTATACCAAAATGAGAGAGACAAAAAACAAACTATTACTACATCCAGCAGCAAGGATGAATATCCCAAATAGTTGGTGAAAGCTATCATACACACACACATAAAGTACACACTGCCTGATTCCATTTGTATAAAGTTCTAAACTGGGCAAAACTAATCAACAGTGTTAGAATTCAGACTATGGGTCACCTTTGGGGGCAGGTAATAACTGAAAAAGGCAAAGGAAGGATTTGGGGGTAATAGTAATCTTCTATTTTTTGATGTGAGTAGTAGTTACACAGGAGACTCACTTGAAAATGCATAAAAGCTATATATCCTTACGATTCGTGCACTTTTCTATATGTATGTTAACCTTCAATAACAAATGTATTTAAAAATAAAAGTAATGCTTCCTATGTCTATACAAGATACATACAACACAAAACAAGTAATGTGATTGTGAAAAGTCTATATGCAACACCATGAGAGACTTTCTAAAACTCAAATCTGATCATTTACTCTCCTGCTCAACATATTTTAACGTCTTCCTAATCTGGCCTCTGTCTACCTCACCAGCCACATCTCTTACTCCTTTCTCCTCCTCGACCTCACTCCACCCCCTCCCCAATTCTTTTTACTCTCCAAAAGAAGCCACATTATTTCAAATGGATTCTAAGCTTTTATGATGCCCTGTTCCCTCTTTATAGCTCTTTTACCCACACTTACCACCCCAAACTGTCCCATATTTGCCTGCTTTCCTGGGACATCCTTCATCCAGTATAGACATCAATTATTCCCAAATCCCAAATCTTGCTTGGATGCCTCTCCTACAGACTCCACAGGCATCACACATATGCCCCATCATGGCACACACTTGTGTAATGACCAGACACTTATCTGTAATTTCTTCTGTTAGCCTCAGGAGGGTAGGGCTATACCTGATTTGTTCATCTTTGAGTCATTAGTGCCTAGCACAGTGTTACTTAAGAAATTTCCCACTCTACAATGTGAGATTTTTACAAGAGCTGTCTAAATGTTCCCCTTTTTAAACTGCCTGTGAAAGAAAAATTTATATTTATAGACCAATCAACCACGACCATGTAAATTTACTGCAGACCAAAGAATAATTGAATCTCAGTAGAGATATTATCCTGAGTTCTAAAATGCTTTAAGCTTCTCCTAATTATGTGTCCAATTGTTGACATAAAGCTCTTTAAGGATTTCTAACTCTTCCATCATTGTCTGTACAGATAGGGAAAGGGAAAACATTAAATTTTTTATGATGCTAGTTCCTTACTGATATGGTTTGGCTCTGTGTCCCCACCCAAATCTCATGTTGAATTGTAATTCCCAATGTTGGAGGCGGGGCCTGGTGGTAGGTGATTAGATCAAGGGGCAGTTTCTAATGGTTTAGCACAATCCCCATAGTGCTATCTCGCGACAGAATTCTCAGGAGATCTGGTTCTTTGAAAGTGTGTGCCACCTCTCCCATCTCTCTTCCTCCTTCCTGCTCTGGCCATGTAAGATGTGCCTCTTTTCCCTTGGCCTTGTGCCATGATTGTTAAGTTTCCTGAGGCCTCCCCAACCATGCTTCCTGTACAGCCTGCAGAACTGTGAGTCAATTAAATCTCTTTTCTTCATAAATTACCCACTCTCAAGTAGTTCCTTATAGCAATGTGAGAATGGACTAATACACTCATCAAACTGTATCAATAGCATAGCCCATTTCTAATGCCCCATTATAATAAGTGATGTCTATCTCAAATGAATCATAGTAAGATGTCTTATTTTTAAACATCTTTTGTAGTATGTATTCAATGTAAGATACATTGCTGAGTAACTTCTATCCATACATTATCATGATTAAGAGATCATAACAATTTCAACAATTTCAGTGACATCCTGTGGTTATAACTAATGTGCTATCTTTTTGGATCATCAAATGTTCTGACTTCCTGTGAAAACATCTTCTACTTATTAATATGTAGCTTGTAAGTCATTCCACTGTCAGAATCAGAGTGAAGGACTTCCAACTCTAATCTGCATATATGAATAAAGGCCTTGATATTCTGACTTTAGGAATACTTTCCTGCCAGCTACAATAATTTATTTGGTCATGATACACACACATATCTTGTGTGTGTGAAATATGGAAAATGCTGAATTGACAGTTAAGTCAACATACGGGGACTACATCTGGGAATACAACACAGGGATTACAACTTTAGGCAAAAAGAAAAAAAAAAGACATTGTTTCTGCCCTGTTGGAGCTTACAGTCTAGTGACGATGGTATCAATCGATCACATAAATAAATGTAAAATTAGAACTGTGGTAAATACACCATCTCTCACCTGGACTATTGACATTGGCTCCTAACAAGTCTCCCTGCTACCAATCTTGCCCCCTTGCATCTTCCATGTACATCCATTCTCTACATGGAAGAATATTTCTAAAATGTTAACCAAATTACTCCCATCTTTCCCAGACCATCTCTACACAAAGTCCTAGAATGGCTTCCTATTCCACATAGAATAAAACCCAAGTCCTTACACTGAATAACAAAGTCTGGAGCAATCTGGCCACCCCTTTTCTTTCTAACCGCATTTCATCTGACTCTCCTGTCTTCTCTCTCTGCCTCAGGGCCTTTGCACTGATTCTGTCTGAAATGCTCTGCTCTTGATCAAATCTTCTCGTCACTCAAATCCCTATTTAAATGTTACCTTACCCTTTAATCTAAGGTACTCATCCACTCATTTGCATTAATTATCTCAATTTTATTTATCTCTGCTAATATTCTTGTTTATTTATTTGGATTTTGTTTGTCCAGGACAGGAGAATAATGAACAAACTAGAAAAAAGGAATGGAGCTGCCAGCCAGCATTAAGAGCTCATGCGTGGATCACAGTTCAGTCTTCATAATCCTATCTAAATGGCAAACTACCTATGACAAAACAGAGATGGCATAAGCTTACCTCACTGCACCACCTTTGGAACTATTACAACTGTTGTAAACAAATCAAAAAAACATTGTTGGAGAAGTCACTCAGAAAAATAGGCGAAGGTATAGAATATTTGGATCTAATGAAATTACATTAAAATGCCTTTCAAACCCAGCAGATGTCATTAAAACAACTAACGTAACTGTGAGCGACGGAAATGAAGAATCCAACAGAATGAAAGGAGATATCTCAAACACTGGTGGGCACGGCCTAAAGCTGACATAGACAGGCTTGGCCCTCCTGTATAGTCATCATAACAACAGGAGACTCCATAACAATAAGAGACAGGGTGAGGAGTGACTCTGAATCAAGTCTAGGACTACACTATTCAACATGGCAGCCACTAGTCATGTTTGGCTATTGAGCACTTGAAATGTGGCTGGTGCAACTAAGAAGCTGAAATCTACATCATATTTAATTTCAATTAATTTAAATTTAGAAACTGAAACAATGAAAAATACTTTTCCTGCAAATACAACATTACTTTTTTGGTAAGGCCACATTTCTTTTTTTTAATTTTTTTTCCTGTTTTTGAGACCGAGTCTTCCCCTGTTGCCCAGGCTGGAGTGCAGTGGTGCAATCTTGGCTCACTGCAACCACTGCCTCCCAGGTTCAAGCGATTCTCCTGCCTCAGCTTCCCGAGTAGCTGGGACTACAGGCGCATGCCACCAGGCCTAGCTAATTTTTGTATTTTTAGTGGAGACGGGGTTTCACCACATTGGCCAGGTTGGTCTCGAACTACCGACCTCAGGTGACCTGTCCACCTCAGCCTTCCAAAGCGCTGGGATTACAGGCATAAGCCACCATGCCTGGCCTCACTTTAACTGCTGAAAATATATCCTCCAAATTGAGATGTTCTCTAAGTGTAAAATGCATATCAGATTCGAAATAGTTTGTGCAAAATGAAAATGTTTAAAATCTCATTAATAATTTTTATATTGATTACATGTTGAAATTATGGTAATTTTGATATATTAGGTTAAATAAAATCTACTACTAAAAATAATTACTTTTTACTTTTTCTTTTTTTTTAAGGGGCACAGTCTCACTCCATACTGGAGTGCAGTGGAATAATCATGGCTCATGGAAACCTGAACTCCTGAGCTCAAGCATCCTCCTGCCTCATCCTACCTCAGCCTTTGGAGCAGCTGGGACTACACGTGCGTACCACCATGCCCAGCTAATTTTTGCATTTTTTGTAGAGGTGGGATCTCACTATGTTGCCCAAGCTGGTCTTGAACTCCTGGCCTCAAGTGATCTTCCTGCTTCGGCCTCCAGGTGTGAGACACGCACCTGGCCAATTCTTACTTTTTAATATAACCCATAACTTAAAAGTACATATTGGACAGCACTGGTCTAAGGATTAAAAAATCAATACTACCTGAAAAGAAGGGTTTGGAGTCTCCTATTGTTATGATGACTACACAGGAGGGCCAAGCCTGTCCATCTGTGTCATAGGAAGAATTCTCCAGAATGTGTGCCATCCAGATGCAGCATTCAAGCCTTAAATGGGTGATCAATAAGCAACCATATTTTAATTAAAAAATGCTCGGACAGCAATTTCAAATCAATATGGGATGGTAAGATAACTAAAGTTCACCTAGAATGGTACCTTCAGTTTATCTGAGATTATAAACTTCCTTCTAGTGGGTAACTAACTCCAATCCAGAGAAGGTTTAGAATTAAATATAGAGATGAGGAAAATCAGACTTGTATTATTACTTTTTAGAAAAGTTTAGAAATATGTCTTATATTAATTGGAACAGCCTGTACACAATTGTCATGTTTTTAACGTTTAAAAGAATCTGACATCAAACTGACAGATGAGCTTTGTGATTCTAGTTCAAAATGTGTAATAGATTTCAGATATGATTTATTTTGATTGAAATGTTTAGGAGTATTTGACTATGTCTATACAATATTAATTTTGTAAGTGACAAAATATTCAAAGGAACTTAACCTAAGTATTTGGTAAGGTTTTACTTACTTGAGTCATAAATTTGCCCAATAAACATATGATTTATCTAAATAGAAAAATAAATACATTAAAGTAACATGCGATTTAAAATATTTAAGGTTTGAAATTTAACTAAGTTCATAAATGAGACTGATAATTTAAGAAATCCAATCTGTTCAATTTGAATTAAAGTTTAGTCAAAGAAAAAGTGAAGATGATTGCTCATATTTACCAGATATATAAACAGAGTATTAACATATGCAAGTTGAACTTAAAGGCCTAAAGAAAATTAGATTTTTGTTTCTACCTGAAATAAATATTAATTTTCCTTTCTCCACACAAAACTTACCCTTAATAACTAATAATTAAGTACATTAGAAATGTTAATTCATTTAATCCTCACAATCACCAAGTGAAGTAATATTATTGTCTCCACTTTACAGGTAATTGTCTTAGTCTGCTCAGATTGCTCTAACAAAATACCATATGCTGAATGGCTTATAAACAACAGAAATTTCTTCATCACTGTTCTGGGAACTGGGAAGTCCAAGATTAAGGTGCTGGCAGATTAGGTATCTGGTCAAAGACCACTTATTGGTTCACAGATGGTGCCTTATCACCGTGTTCTCACATGGCAGAAGGGGCCAATGACCTCTCTGGGGTCTCTTTTATAAGGGCACTAATACTATTTATGAGGGCTCCACCCTCATGGCCTAATCACCTCCCAAAGGCCCTACCTCCTAATACCATCACCTTGGGAGTTAGAATTTCAACATATGAATTTGGAGGGGACATGAGCATGCTGTCCATTGCAGTAACGAAATGAAGGCACAGAGAGATTAAGCAGCTACCTCAAGGTCGTATCACTAAAAGGTGGCAGAGGCAGTATTCAAATCCAGGCTGTCTGGCTTCTCATACTGGCCTTGAACATTAAAAAAAAAAGAGAAAAAAAGGTCACAGTGATCTATATAATTAGATGATCATAAAAGTGGGTTTATTCCTTACTATTCAGATTCTAAGTCTCATTCCTTTTTCCCCCCCAGGAGTTATCAAGGAAAGTATGCACCAGGAATTCCAGGAAAACCCCATGTCATGCAGGAGAATGACCCAAATGAAAACATCTTTCCAAACTTCTAACTTCATCCCTGATACCACACTCCAGACCTTCGGCATCCTAAAACAAGGAAATCTCCCACTGTAGCAAAAAGCATGTTGCTCTGACCCTGAGGGAATTTAGCCTGGGGGATATGACATTTATTGAGTTACTTTTCATTTCATTTCATCCTATACCACTCATGTAGCCCTTGTCCTTGTTCATTTCCAATCCAGAACACAGTATAAAACAAAACACAAATTCAGGAGACAGAAAATAACTCCATTTAATTTTGGTTTTTGTTCCAAAAATAGACTTGAGGATAGGGGTTCTCTGTCTCTTTCTACTCTAAAAGCCCATCTGAGGTCTGCAGCAATAACTGTGAACAACGATGTCTTTTTCTTGGCTACCTCCTGAGAACTACCTCCTCCTTCTCAGCCAGCCATACCTGCCACTCTGAATTTGCTCCACCAGGCAGTCCTCAACTGCCACTCTTTCCAAAGTAACATAATCCCAAAAGCATCTTCACTGCAGCAGAAAGGCATTTTTTGTCTGCTGGTAATTAACAAAGCAATCATAGTCAAATTCAGATTGTGGTTTATCCACACAAATCATGTTTTTAAATCTACCAACTCTGTACAATCTTGGATAAGCTATTTATTAGCCTTTTATAGATGAGGAAACAAGAATTATGGTGACAATCAAAAGAGACAGCTTGTGTGGAATACTTAATAGCGTACCTGGCACCAAGTAAATGCTTAATAAATGGTAGTTATTACAATATTTACTATTAAAAGAACCTACAGAACTATGTTTACTCACTTGCTTTTATGAACACCTGTCTCTTATTTAGTCCTACTTTTCACATAGCTTAAATAAGCTCCTGAAATTAAAATGCTTAATCATTCTTCTATGGAGACAGTAAGAACATGTGTTATTTCAGAGGAGGGACATGCAGAGTTCTACTGGGAGGGAGTGAGAAGGGAGTATCACTTAGTCCTTAGCACATGTAAGAGGTAGCCTAGGAAAGAGCAGGTGAGCCCAGGTTGAGGATAACCCCGTGAGGCAATGCAAATGGATCAACATTTCCAAGATAGATTTACATGTATATAGCAAGGCCAATACCACAGAAAATATGTAGTCACCCCTCAATATCTGCAGGGGGGCTGGCTCCAGGACCCCCAAGGATACCAAAATCTGAGGATGCTCAAGTCCCTGGTATAACATGGCATAGTATTTGCATATAACCTATGTACATCCTGCCATGTACTTTAAATCATCTGTAGATTGCTTATAATACCTAATACAATGTAAATACCATGTAAATAGTTCTTAGACTGGGTTTCTTATTTGAATTATTTTTTGGAATATTTTCCAAATATTTTTCCAAATATTTCCAATCCATAATTGATAGAATCTGCAGATGTGGAACCTGCAGATATGCAAGGCTGACTATATTCTTTTAATATATGAATACGAATAATAAATTAAGGAACAACTACCTTTGGAAAACATCTTTTTCATAAATTATTCTAGTTTCTATGTACAGAAAAGAATACTGGTACATGTCACAATATGCTATGAAGAAATGCTTCTTGTTTTATGACTTTAGGTTTTGTTTCTTTTTAGCAAAAAGAGAAAATAAGATGGGGGAGGAAAGCCCAAGCATAATAATTAGTGTCATTATTTCTACACTTAGTAGATATCAGTAAACAGAAAATAAAGCTTGCTGCATTCCTTGACATAAAGCCAGGATTCTGGTATATTTTGTGTACCTTTGGGTTAACGTAACAGAAAGTGATCATATTAGTTTCCTCACTCATAAAAAAGGGATAATAGTACCTACTTCAAAGGGTTGTTGTGAGGATTAAATGAGTTGATATTTCTGAAGTGCTTAGAAAAGTGTCTGGCCCATAGGGAAGAATTCATAAAGGTTTGATTGACAGAGAAGAGCTGGAAGTCAAAATTACTGCAATCAGACTAAACAAGTTCTCAGTAAACCAATATACAGGAAGAAAAAAGGCCAGAGAAGACCACACAGAAACCTTTTATTGTAGATTTAAAATTCAAGAGTTTGAATAAACAACAATTCTTCAGTATAACTGTGCCCAACACATCACATGGTGATCAAATTATGTAAAACACCATGTCTGCCTTGAATGACTATAGCTATAGAAGAGGGAAGATGATTCACAACAGACTGATCAGAAACACAACTTCTCACTCAAATACAATATGTTGGCCAAACACACAGTTTTATTTTATAGTTCCATTGCCATCTTGATTATCTAAATCATGTACCTGACCAATTAGATAACATTTCTCATGTGGAAAAATTTTATTATTGGGCCTTAATTTGTGGTTTACAATGCTTAAAGTGCACTTAAACCACAATTCAAGAGAGTCACGTTTTAGTTAATTGGGAGGAAAAATGGAGGCAAGTGACCAGGACCAGCACCAGCAACTCTTTTGTAGGACTAGCCAGCCTCTGGAAATGGTCACTAGGTAAAGACCTCAGGTAATCTGCTTTAGAGTCTGGACCATAAAGTGTTAAAAGAGATTATTAGAGCCATCACTGTCCCCCAGCTTCCTGCCCCAGACTCCCTGACCCTGCCCTCCCAACCACCACCACCGCACCCCCACCCCTGCACCACCTTTGGCCACTATGCCAGCAGACTCTCAGTATGTATTGATCTCTTTAACACCTTTTAACTCACTGCTGCCTCTACCTCCTAGTTCTTTGGTTTTCACTTCAACCGATTATAAGATACAGAAGCAAGGATCAAGTTCAAAACATGTATGGAAATAAGCAATCACCTAACAGGATCCCAGATTCTACTATCCAACAAACCATGTCTATAAATACTCAAAATGCAAAATATAAAGATTATAATGTGTTTTTTATGCCCACTATTTTCTGATCAAATTACAAATTAACCAAATCATTTTTAAAATAAGCTCTGGAAATATAAAACTTTTTAAAAAAACATTACAAAATTAACTGGTAACTTTTGAAAAAAGGAAGGCTGAAAACAAAGGAGAGTATTTGGGTATCATACATTAAGAATTACATATAAAATAAATAATCCTAATAGCTGAGAAACAAGTAAGTCCCCAACTATAAGAGGTTGGTTGACTTTCATCAAGCAACATAGAATATATAGAAGGAAGCATTTGATAAACATTTGATGACTGATGTCCAAAACCATACTCCATAACTGCTACAAAAAATTGGCACATCAGGAAAACAATCGTTTATCTTGAACTATGTTTATATCACTTAAATTATGTACAATACTGTATAAAAGTATACATTTTCCCCAAGCACTTGTGGCTTACCAAACAGCTTAAGACATCTTATCTCCATTTTAATTGAAAACATGAAAAATGAAACACACGTCCACAAAAGTTTTTCAGCTTCTATCAATCACTATTAATAATCCATGTCACTAAACACCACAACCTATCACCATGACCATGTGTCTCCTGTGCCTTTTCTCAGCACAGTAGTTCTGACAAATACCCACTGTGCACAGCAGGTCAGTTAACAATACCTGATATTTACAGCATTTTGTCTTGAGGTCTCAGGGCCACACTATTCTCCCCAGCCACAAATCTAAATCTAAGTGTTTTGGTAATGAAGAAATCATTTAAAAACTACCATCCTTCACAAATGTGCTTTTATAAATGCTACAACACATTGCACTAGATGCTAAATTACCAACCAGTAATCATGTTATCACAGTGCAACTAGAAATTGCAAGAGAATGTTGACCCAGAAACAGTCAATAAAGGCTTCAGTGGCTTTATTTAGGCTGCCTATGCAGGCTTATATGGTTACAAACAACTGACTTTCAATGGCACAAACATAATGTTAATCCTAACTTAAACAGGAACATTTGTGGCTTTTTTTTGTCTTTGGATATGCTTCATAAACTGAATTACAGAATTCTTTCAGGTAGAATACAGCTATGGTGACAATTATCAGGCCATATTTTACAGCTTATACCAAAAATTAGGACCAATTTTACGTCATAAAATTAAAACCCGTAAGCTAAAATGCAGGAAAAGACTCCTACTCCCGTGAATCAGCAAGAGTGATGACTAGTATTTTACACCTGGGGATATGCAATGCTGTTGCCTGCTTCCACCAGGTGGCTAAACCATGGACAGAAAACACAATTGCTGTTTGCATTTTCTAAGGACATATTGCAGATATCATAGTATTTTTTCTTTCATTATCTGGTTATGCACATACCTCAGAACACTAGTAACACATATAAACATGCCAGATTATTGTTTTCCACTGCACTGACACAAGCTTCATTTCATGCTTCGGAGCTCTTATTAATAAGCCACTACAACCAAGCAGTGCATGCAATACATGATTGTTGATTTCTGTATACCGACTTTATTTTTTGGCAGAAAATGATGCAGCTCTGAAGAAGCCAAACTATATTGAATGTTGTGCCCGTGTGAGCTAGCAGCAAAGGCAAAGCACCGGTCCTTACTGTGCTAAATTCACCATGGATATCTCCGTTCTTCAGCACTCAGATTAAGGGCCACAACATAAATGTTTAGGCTAGAACTCACAGTGTGGGTTTCATCTGGCAGAAAGCACGGACCAAGTCCTTGAACTTGAATACTGGTTTTGCTAACAAAGATCTGAATAAAGCTGTTCTGTTGGTCCCTCAGGAAAAAAAAAAAAACACACACACACACACAAACACACAAAATAATTTATTTTTAGTACAAAACATAAAACTACATTCTCTGTCTATATAATGTGCCTAGGCTTCAATATCCTATTTGCTGTTCATGCTTAAGTGAGAAAATACTTTTCTCTCCCGTTTATCTTCTCAAAACAGATCTACTTCGTTTTAATCAATGTACGATTTTATTACCGTCATGAAAGAGTATTTAGCAGAGCATCTGTGAATCTTCCACAGGTAAAATTCAGTTTAAAAACAAGCCCAATTGTGAAATAACCTGCAAACTGTTAATTGCAACTTCAATCCTTTAGTTTCCAATACAATCTTCTAATGAAGTGGCATTACTTGAAGTTGCTGGCAAATATGAACAGACTGAGAAACCTAGTAATCAGCAGGCTAACAGGTGTTGAAATCCCAAAAGAGGGAAGAGGAATATTAAATAATCACTCTTTGCCTGACACCTCAAGTAGCTGTAATATGCAGAATTCCAATCAACTTAACTGCAATTCAAAATGATCAGTGGTACTGTTTTCATTAATTACTCTCTAGCAAAAATATAATTTCTTGCATTCCATATAGTTCTTTAAATGACCTATTCCAACTTATACATTATTTTACTAAGTTGGATATACAATTTTATATGTTAGATTATTTTCCAGTTATCAATATGACATCTCATATTGTTTAAATATGATTTAAAACAAATCTTATTAACATATATACAATTTCCTTCTGAATTGATCAACTGTATTTCTGAAAATGTATCTGTTTTCTTTCATATTACTACATGTAAGATGATGTCTAAGTACCAAAAAAAAAAGTCTTCACAGTCACAATTTAAATCTGTGCTTCGCGTCTGCAACAAACTATCACGAAATGATTGCAAGGGTTGGGGCCACTGAGAAAGGTACCTATAACCTATCCAGTGCCCCAGTGGCAACCGCATCGTGGTCCTCATCATCCCACTCATAAACACCGATGCAAACACCGCCCAGCTACCTGCCTCCAGAGGTGCTTTGGATTGCCTCCCTACACATAAAAACAAAAGGCACTTTCCAGTTCCTTACAGCATGAACACAATACCTTCTAGAAACAAAAGCAATGACCTCGGTGCCAAGTATCTCCTTGACAAAGTATCGGTACTGCTCTACATTCTGGTCTTGCTAGTCGGGGAAAGCCGGGCTACCCTTACCATCCAGTTATAGGTGCAACTGCACCTTCCAAAGAAAAAAAGGTCTTTCGATTCAATATCCAAACGAACTTCAGAAGCCTCCTCAAAATGCTTCAGCCACAGGCATAAAAATGGGCTCACTTTTCAGAGATTCGTAAAAATCTTTCGCTTGTCCCTCTTACTACCCTCCCAACCCCTCCTCAAAGAGAATGCCATGAAACATGAAAGTCCAAAGGTAAATACTTTCATACCTTTTTTTCCCCCAAAAGCCTCGATGGCACGCCAAGAAGGAAAATAACAACAACAACAGAGGGGCAGCTCCCTGAGCAGGTGCAGCCCGCGCGGGCGCTCCGCAGCCGCCCTCCGCCGCACAGCCCCTCAAGTTGGTGCCAGGACGGCGGCCCCCGTGGTGCCCGGAGGGAGACTCCGCGCGCGGGCCCCGGCGCCGCTCGGCCCGAAGTTTGCCGCCCCCTCTCCTCGGCGCGCTTGGGCGGCCCGGCGCCGTCCAGGACTGCGGGGCTGGCTGCTGCCCCAGCGTTGGGGAGGCCCGGCGTCCCGCCGACCCCTCCCCGGCCGCGGGCGCGATCGCCTTACCTGGCCGGCGGCGGCCCAGGGCCCGGGAGCCGCTCCGGCTGCGGCGGCGCCTGGGAGGGGAGGGAGGTTCCCGTGGAGGAGGAGCTCGCGCGAGGAGCTAGCGGGCTGGCGGGCGGGCGGCTTTGTCTCTACGGCGCTGAGCCGCCGACCCTGCGTCACCATGGCAACCGCCGGGGCCCCCCCGGCCCTTCCCCTCAGCAGTCCGGGTATTCGGAGAGGACAAGGACCCCCGATGGGCCGCCACCACCACAAACACGCCCCTCTCTCAGTCTCCCTCACAAACCGCCTGTTTCTCCCCAGCGAGAGGGGAAGGCTAAAGCGGAGCGAGCCCAGGGCCAAGTGGTATTCGCATCCTAGTAGGCACTCCTTTGCTTCCCCACACTGGACATTCCAACTCCCGTCGCACCACCATCCCCCCCACAGACACCCTCCACCACTACCACCACCACACCTTTCTCCTGTGGAGCTGTACCCTCAAAATGGAAATTCACTTAAGGGAGGAGAAAGAGCAATGCAAAGTGATAAAGTGTTGAGCAACTGGTACTCGGTTCTCCTGTTGCAACTGCCGCAGCATGCACGGAGCTGCCAAGGGACGCCGTGCCGCCTCCTCCCTCTCCCCCTCCTCCTCCTCTCTCTTTTAGCAAGCTTTGCCTCTGCTGGATGTGGTCTCACTCCACCCAACCCGTGTATCTGTCTTGTTGAGGGCTCCCGTAGGAGAGAGGGGAAAGGGGGCTTTATCTCTGATGTAAACACTGGATACACTTGTAACCTCAGAAGCTGAAACACAACTTTCAGGCTGCAGTATGGATCTCAGCTGCTGCCACACTGCGCAGCTACTGGCTGTGACCGCTAAGCATCTACCATGAGCCCTGAGTGACTCTGTGCCAAGGACTGGTCACGTACTGCAGGCCATGGCACTCAGGAGCAGAGAAAAGAAAGCTAACTTTTTCCTCTCCTGAGGAAATTCTTAGAGAGGGAGAGAAAAGTACCAGCAGACCCTTGGTCATGCTTCCTCTAAAGGACGAACTAGAGGGCAGCCTCCATGGGGGGAGTGAGTCATCCCTCCATACTGTTTTCTTGAAAGATCCGTTGCTGAATCCAAAAGCTACAGTGTCTTTCTTCAAACCCTGGGGAACATGACATTTATTTTTTGGCATTTGTGAATCACCAAAGGAATGTCAATGATTTATAATAAAATCCACGGTAGCTGATGTTTTCTGGGTTTACTACTTGAGAAGCCACAAAGCAGAACAATGTTATTGCCATTTGAAGGTACACCTATATTAACTAATGAAAAGATAAGATCTATTTCATGGTGGAAAAGG
This sequence comes from Homo sapiens, assembly GCF_000001405.40. NCBI lineage: Eukaryota > Metazoa > Chordata > Mammalia > Primates > Hominidae > Homo > Homo sapiens. Next base: position 13,923,698 of record NC_000006.12, on the reverse strand, counting down.
AAAACAGTTTGTTCCTCGGAGAGACTGGCCACTTTCTTGTAATGGGAATATTCTGAATGAAGTCAATAATATTCCAGATGAAGTCAAAAGACAAGGTCTTTTTGGCAGGCCATTAAGCATTTGGCAATACCTGCCAGAATTCAAAATGCACATACATTTCTCCCAGCTATCTCAATTCTAGAGATCTGTCATACAGAAACACACAAATGTGTAATGATAGATATAAAAGGATATGCATTGCAGAAGTTTTGTAATAGTAAATGTTTGAAACAACTTATATGCCCATCAATAGTGATATGGTTAAATAATGTGGCACTTCATACCATGTAATACTATGCATCCATTAATAAGAATAAAATATATAAAATTCATAGATATTGATTTCTTATTAAATGGAAAAGGGGGGCTCAGAACCGTATGTGTGGGTGATCCCATTCTGTACAAAAAAACTGGATATATAGGAACAGAACAAAAACATAGGGATAAAGGTCTATAAGAATGCCTACCTAATTGCTAGAAGTGGTAACCTGTTAACTACAAAAAAAATTGAAGGGACAGTTACCTCTTACGATGTACAATTTAGTACACATATTTGGTTTGTTTGGCTTTTTCAAATGAGCATTTATTAGTAATTTATCAATGAAGAAGCAAAAACAAAAAGCTTTAATAAATGTTTGTTGACCTGCATGCACATTACTGCCTGATCAAAAACTGAATACAGAACAGGGAGGGACCATTGACTTGGCCATCCCTGCCCTCAGCTGAAGGCTTGGAAAAGTCCACGTTGTGTCCCCACTTAGAGCATTGCTTAGTGACCTGGTCCTGCGTTATTCTGTGAGACATTCTTCCAGACATTCATTTTTCCAAAAGAGGTTTAGCTTTATCTTAAGGTCTGCTTCCATTCTGCCTCTTGGAGAAAATTAAAAGACTTGTCAGGAAACCATCTTAAAATGTGCCACCTTACTTACCAGGGGATATCATTTGAATAGGTTAAGTGGCAGCTTTTAGTCTGTTTAGCTAAACTGAAACTGAAGATACTAAAGCTTAAAAATTAATGTGTGGATACATGACTAGTCTTTCTTATTCTCACCATTTTTGAAATGAGGTTAAAATAATGAATTTGCTTTCCTAAAAAGATCTAGAGCTGCACAGTCTAATTCAGTAACTGCTAGCCACATATGAATTAGCTACTGAATTGGTATGTTCAGTAAGTGCAAAATACACACCAGATTTCAAAGACTTGGAACAATAACTTTAAAAAAATAATATCTTATTAATAATGTTTATATTGGTTACATGTTAAAATATATTTTGAATTTATTGAGTTAAATAAAAGATGTTATTAAAATCATTAACTTTTGTTCCTTTCCACTTTTTTAACATGATTATTAGAAAATTATAAATTATATATGTGACATTTTGGACAGCTCTGTTTTAGAATTAGTGTTTATAGCAAAATATCATTAAGAAATCTAAAGTTAGCTATTCTTCTTAACTTTTAGTTAAAATGTAATTACCTTATTAATGCTCCCCAACTCATAAAGATGCCACAGTATGGCAATTTCTGTTAAATAATTTCAACTTATTAGAATCCTATTATATGCAAGCATTAGCTTATGCTTTTATATTTTAGAAAGATTTTAGCACAGACACTAAAGTCAGATTACCTGGACCTGAATCTCAGCTCTGTTTATCAACTACATGACCTCAGCAAGCAATTTAATACATCTGTTCCTCAGTTTCCTTACCTATAAAATAGGGATTATAATAATACTTACCTCCTTGAGTTGTAAAAATTAGATGCTTGATTGTCTACAATGCTGAATAAATGTTAACTATTATTACTTTTATTATTATACTTTGTTGGTTCTCTCACTTTTTTTTTTTTTTTGAGACGGAGTCTCACTCTGTTGCCCAGGCTGGAGTGCAGTGGCACAATCTCCACTCACTGCAAGCTCCTCCTCCCAAGTTCACGCCATTCTCCTGCCTCAGCCTCCCGAGTAGCTGGGACTACAGGCGCCCACCACCACGTCCGGCTAATTTTTTGTATTTTTAGTAGAAATGGGATTTCACCATGTTAGCCAGGATGGTCTCAATCTCCTGACCTCATGATCTGCCCACCTCGGCCTCCCAAAGTGCTGGGATTACAGGCGTGAGCCACTGTGCCTGGCCAGCTCTCTCACTTACTCTACTAACCTTCAATTCAAGTTAGTCTATATATGTATATATAAATCTTTCATCTATATATAGAGATAAATCTCTCATTTTCCTTTAAATGGTCTGATTGGAACTGTAACTGAGTCATCAAAAGTTCATTCTTTTTACCCTTGAACTGACTATAAAGTTATCAAAATTAAAGAGATATTTTGATTCAAGTTAGTAAAATAAACCAGAAATTTCAATAACAAGATCAGCACCTATAATAATTTCATTTTGATAAATATTAAATTTTTTTGGTTTAACAAAATGCAGCAAATGTTATCAAGTGGTTTAAAGTCAATTTATTGTAGTCAAATTTCTAATATTTAAAGTAAATAATACATCCCTACTAAAGCATTTGTATAAAAATTTTCCTATTCCCTAACTTGAAATTTGTCTATTCAAATCCTTATTTTTTCCTCAATTATACGTCATAATCATAACTGGCATTTATTGCACACTGTGTCCAAGGTCACACAGTTATTTAGTAGCAGAATTACTACTCTACTAACCACTACACCCTACGGCTTCAATAAAGGGGAAAATAACATTTCTTAACCTTTACTTCTTGACACAATCAAACACTAAAAGGAAAAGCAACTATCCTAAGAAATATCTTAAAATTATTTAAGAGCTGGAGCTCAAATATCTTATCCCGCTAAGTCATGCATTTTGGAACAAGCAGAAGGAAAATGCAAGCTTCGATGTTTGCTCATTACTATCTCATTAAGCAACGGCTCCTTCAACTCCTGGCTTCTGGCCATGTTCTGACATTGTTTAATGAGGTGATACGAATACATTCAAGACACATTTAAAAATACTTGTTTATGTCTTAGATGTTATGTTAAAATACTTGTTTATGTCTTAAAATTAGTTTTCTTCATGGCTAGCTTTTGAATTTGACTGGGAAAATCCCAGGCCCAGCCATTTAGAAGGGTTGAAAAAGAAAATACATCTCAGCTGAGTCTATAGAAGCCAGAAACCCAGAACTCACAATTTCCTGTCTTCCCAATGGCCCCCCTTTAAGGCACTGGGCACATCTGCTCTAAAAGGCAAATATTGACTAAGATATGCCTGTAAGTAGAGAAAATGTACTTTTTTATACACTGCTCCTAAGTGGTTTGAACATCCTTGTTCCAAGGAGATATGTTGATCCCTTGAATTCAACAACCTGTGTCCATAGTGGGGAGTTTAAATCAAATTTGTTTCAAAGGCTCCAAGGGGTGCCCAATTACCCTTCTCAATTCCTTAATCATAGTGAATCTCTTCGAGAAATTAAAGATTCAGCCAAATGACAAGAATTCTACCCAACTTGAAATTAGTTCTGTGTATGATGCCTTGGTTTACAAAGACTATGGTCTACCCTACTGGCTTTAGCAATAAAGAAATTAAAGGACACCCAGCTTTCTTATCAATGCCAAACAGTCCCATAATTGCTTATAGAAGTGAAGGAGGCTATCTTCTCTCTTCAATCCATTCCACAAAGATAAGATAAATTTTGAAATATCCTTGCTACTAAACCAAGTATTGTGAAAAATTTTGTCAATAATTGATAGTGGTGATACATTTAACCACCAAGCTATCTGGCACATCAGTAGTTGCCACTGATTAAAGAAGTGTATCCTCTGAAAATCTTGGAAAATATAGCCAAAAGTAAATGGGATTGAGAAGCACTGTCTTATTCATCATTTCTTATGCCCTTGTGTTTATTGTATAGGTCATTTAAAAATATATATGTGTTATTAACAATGGGGAAAACGGCATGGAAACACAGAGTTAAAAAACTGTAGGTCATCGAATTTTAGCAAAAGAAAAGAAAGCAACTAATACATTGCAGTTCTCTGCCAAGAGCTCTCTACAGAGAGATCCAACATAACATCTCAACTGAAAGTATAATTTGATATTGATAAGATAAGATTAAAGTAAACTTTTTATGTACTTTAACTTGATTTTAAGTAAATTTTGTTTTAAATAAATTAACTTTTGGCTATCTTGAAAAATGTATTCAGAGAGTTAGCGTAAAGATATCATTTCCTTTTCTTGGAATATTAAGTAGAGACATCTCTTTTCACGGCCCCTCCACATCCCACCTTGCCCATACTCACAGCTTATCTCATCTCAGTGGCAAAAATGTGTCAGAATATGAACTAGTTCCAATAGTATCTGTTTTAAATTTCATTATCTGTTTACTCACTTACTGATCTCTGACACAGCTGCAAATTAGCTCTTAGCAGAATGGAAATGATTTGTTTCTAGTTTCCCCATCTATAAAATGAAGGTGGTGAGGTCTGCTCTTATCTCCAGGAAAGAATTAGATCGTTCAGTAAAGTTCATTGATCAAAGGCTCTTTGAGACTAATGTTGCAATACTATTGGAGTGAGAGACTAGAAGCGTTATCAAAGGAAACTTGTATATGGTACACATCGTTATAACAGTAAAACTATTTTAAAGGCCCTCTTTGTGACTAGATCTTTTGAACATTATAAATGAAGAAGTCTACACCATCAAAGGCAAGCCAAGGGTGTTGTGACCAGACAGGCTCTTCATGGATGAGGTACTCAATGTGTCAAGGGAAAGATGCAACACAGCATTTTCCACTGACACCTGGCCGCCCAGCTGAGAGTGTACCTTGCTTTGCTGGATAGGTACAGATCACAGGAAATACCCAGACACAGGCTTGTTAACTGCAGCCAGATGTGGCAGATTAGGCCAGAGTGAAAATCTGGAACAAGCTCTGCTCACTGGGGTGGGGTGGATCTAGAAAGGGGGAGAGTAGAGTTGCCAGATGAAAGAAAATTCATGCAATATTTGGAACATAAGGACACTAAACCATCTATTCTTTGTGTTTATCTGAAATTCAAATCTAACTGGGCATCCTGTATTATTATTTGCTAAATCAAGTAACCCTTGACAGGGAGCTCAGGGAAGATTTTAACATTTGTAGATGTGGCTCCTAGGAAGAACCTATTCTAGTGAGCAGAACCAGATCAACACAATATTAGTCAATGGCCAATAACAGATAAGCAGTCAGCAAAGGAAGTAGGGAGGCTGAGGGAGAGGAAAAGCAAGTTATTAGAAATGGCACGAGATTAAGGCCACATTAACCAAAGCAAACTGACAGGCCCAAAACAATAGGCTCAAGGGGTGGCCTCTGCCTCCATACCATTCACAAAACCAAACCCTCCCATCAGAGACACCTCATTTCTATTTCCCTGGAGATGTATCAGATTTCCCAACAAGGAGGTAGAGTCTATGAAATCCACCCCAAAAATGCACCACCACCTTGAATGCGACCTTCCCCCTGATTAATGGTTTAAAGACCACTCTATTTTGTGAAGAGTGGATTTGTGGGGAGCAAGATGAAGACAAGGAGACCCATGAGCAGAATAGTTCAGGAGGTTAGGTAGGAGACAATAGTGGATGGGACAGGGGCCAAGGTGGGTAGCGGTGGAGATGGAGAGAGGTAAAACACTAAAGAAGCATTTTGGAGGAAGAACAGAGAGGACTTGGTAAGGGGCTTCCTCCAGGACATAAGGGAGAGGAAAGCGCCAAGAATCCTTCGCAGGTTTCTGGACTTCCATGAAGGATTCTTTGTTATGGGAGAAAGGCTGAGCCAATTTGATGATCATTCCTGAAAGAAGAGACTGGGATCAGTTGGTAGAAGTAGATATAGCTGAGATGTCATGATACACGAGTAAGACTAACTGCCATACTGATCCCTGGGAAGGGGGAAGATAAGCAACTGCAAAGAGAGAAACAGAGAGGCCGAGGTGGGTGGATCACCTGAGGTCAGGAGTTCGAGACCAGCCTGACCAACATGGTGAAACCCCCTCTCTACTAAAAATACAAAAATTAGCCGAGTGTGGTGGCACATGCCTGTAATCCCAGCTACTCGGGAGTCTGAGGCAGGAGAATCACTTGAACCCAGGAGGCGGAAGTTGCAGTGTACTAAGATCGTGCCATTGTACTCCAGCCTGGGCAACAAGGGTGAAACTCTGTCTCAAAAAAATAAAATAAAATAAAGAGAGAGAGAGAGAGAAACAGAGACAACAGCTTTGTGGCTCCTATGAGTCCCAAAGGGCAGCCTTTCTTTCTTTCTGGTCTTGGAACTCATCACATACATTCCTTTCTGGGCCCTCTGCCCTTCTGTTCCTTCCCTAGCCTGGAATGCTTTTCCTCTCAGCTTCTCACAAGACTGTCCCCCTTGTGCCTCTCAGCTCTCAGCTTTCCACTCAAATGTCACCTACTCAAAGAGAACTTTCCTGACAACCCAACCTGAAATAGCACTTAGTTTCTCATTATCACATTGCCCTCTTTTATCGTTTTCAAAATATTTACCATCTTCTGACACTGTCATGATGCTCATATGTGTATTGCCCTTGTCTGCGATCACACCCTCTAGAATGTGAGTCCTAGGGGACTTGCCTGTCTTTTTTCACACTGACAACTCAGCTTCTAGAACAGCACCAGGTACAATGATCACTCAGTAAACACCTGACGAAGGGCAAACAGACAGCTTCCCAGTGCCTGGTTCTAGTTCACAGGGAGCCAGCTTTCATTTGTTTCCTGCCCTTGGATGCTGTAAAATAGCCATGTCCTTAAAATAACTTTTTTTTAAAATCTCCTTTGAGTGGCTTCTTTTTCCTACCAACAAAAGGGCTGAATCAGAACACACATAGGAATCTAAGTGAGCAGAAGGGCTGGATGAAGGCCAGGGAATGTGTCAACTAGGTCAGCCTCTAATAAGAAGAGCCATGGGTTTGTAAATGTTAGAACAGGTATGTCAAGAGAAGGAAAATCCATCATGTGAAATGCTAGCTTACTACCTGTTGATGAACATTAGCCAATTCAAAGATTTTATTTCTTCATGCAATATTATGTGCTGCCTTCCTTCCTTCTCTGTACAATCTCTGGGCTGGGCCAGAGATCCAGAGATGAATAACGGGTGGCCCCAGCCCTGAGGAAAGGCTGTCTGCAGATAAGGAAACAGTGACAATTAATAACAGCCTAGGTGTATGTGCTGCGTAACCGTTGAAGATCATGCTTGGGGCCCTGTAGGGTATTAAGAAGGTAATGTTGGCACTGGCCTCTGAGGCAACAGAGGAAGGGAGGTCATTCCAGGTAGAGGAAGCAACAGATGCAAGGCGTGGAGACGCTGAGCCAGCATATCAAGTTCTGAGGCTCAATTCCCCAGGGACAGAATTTAGAGTGTTCATGGGCTGATGGCAGGAAATGACACCAGGCCAGTAGCAAGGCCCCAGATTGTATGGACCTGTGTGCAGAAAAGCCATTTTCTTTAGTAAGATTAAAACCCAGGATAGTAAAATCTAGCCCTGGAAAAATGCTTTCCTGGTGACCAAGACCTCACTGGTGACCAGAATATGGCACCACTTCCCTCCCCTTGGAACTCTCATTGCTTACGCTGTCATTCTTGTGCTGGCCTGAGGGGTCCCTTGTCCTCCACACTGAGGAGCTGGGACTTTATCCCCTAGTGACCACACATATGCACACACCCTTTCTTGCAGGCTCTTTGGCATTATTTATGAAACTGCATTCAAATGAGTTTAGCAAATATTAAAGCCCAATGTGATTAATAATGAAGTATATTGGAAGTTAACAGGCCTGTTGGTTTCAGTCCTGGTTTCCATGGACAGATATCCAGTGTCGCCAAGACCAGCACCATTGTTAGCCTCATCAATGACAGCTTGCTAGAGACAGGCAGGGGGCCAGGAATCCCCCAAAGCTGCCTGTTGATTTGGCTGATGGAGACTTTAGACTCACAAGGGGCTTCAGTTAACTTATTTAACAGAAAAGACATTCACTAGAACCGTTTGATTTTAATGAAAACAAATCTTTAGTCTGGAAGGGTACCCTGTTCTTTCAGAAACTCACACTACAGATGCAAGCCAGGGTGAAACTTCTCTCCTGGCTCTAGCCATTTGCTGCATTCTATTAACTCCATATTCAGGTTTCAGATTGACCTTCCTACTCCTTTTCATTTCCACTATCCTAGTAAGGACTTTCTGTATTTTATCTGAAATATCATAATAGCTTCTCAACTGGCCATGTGGTCTTCTGTCTCTCCCATCTTTGGTCAACCCACTCTTTGCTGCTGGCTTAACCTTCACATAGCTTTGAACATGTCATGCCCTGCCCCTAAATACTCCATGACTCCCCATTGCCTATAGAATGACAATCTTACCCAACTCTTTTGCTCTCTCTGTTTTTCCCATTGTAACCCCATTACATTGTCTTCATGCCCTGGCTAAACTAAGATACAGTATTCTTCTGTAACAACGTGTTCATTCAGCTTTGGAGTGTCCTTTTTCTCCCACTCTCCCAGGTTCAAATACTACCCACCCTTCAATGCTCACTTCAAATGCCCACACTGCCAGGAAACAATCTCTCATTCTTTGAGTGGGATGGAATCTCTCTCATCTATCATCTTCTATAGCATATAACCTTGTATCTTTCTTGCAGAGCTTACAACCTTACATTTTGTGCTCGAGTGGCATTTGCATATGTCAAAAACAAAAGTTTGGTGCCTTATCTTTGAATCCCATGTAGCCCCTAGCGTGGTGTCTTGCCCTCCCTTGGCAGTTAGTTTGTTGAATTAACGAGTTAAGTATTTCGTTTGACATAGAATTCCCACCCCAGGTGTAACTTCCATCCGGGACACTGCTGTGGCATTATGTTTAGCTGACGAGTGAAAGTGCACATCAAAGGTTTGTTTTGTCTTTCTATTTTGTGTGGGAAGTGGTAGTTGGTTGTTTGGGGTTTTGTTTGTTTTGGGGTTACGGCAAACTGAAGAGGTGCCAGTTTGTAAAATGTGGCCTGGAAATTAACTTGCCTCATTGCTCCGAAAGCACTCTTATTGGCACAAAAGCACAGCTTTGGAATTGCAGTCTGAGCTTCCTTTCCCTAGTCCCTAATTACTCATCTGTGCTTCTTTTGTGGGAAGGTCTTTTTCCTTTCTTGGACTTTTGCCCTGTTTAACAGCCCTGAGCACCCTAGTACTGGAGACACATTTATTTCATCAGCTTTTACTCCAAAAGGATTTTACAGGATCAATTTGCTTAAGCAAACTTTTAATTTGGTTTTGTTTCTCTCTTCAGGGACTTTATTTGTAAAACTGTAATGCATGTGCACAAAATCAGATGACTAAGATGATTATAGTCCTGGGGAGCAGAAAGCCAACTCACCTCAGGGGACATGGGGACAAACTCACTGCTTACACCTCAAATGGATGCACTGGTTGTTTTCACGCTTGTGGCAGCAAATGTTAAATTATTAAAGTTCTCCTGTCAGGTAGGATGCTTTTAACTATGAGGAGGGAAATCACTGAATAAAATCAGTCCAAATGATAGGTGTTTATTTCACAAAGCAAGACATCCAGAGGTAGGCGATTCCAGCAGCTCATGGTGTCAGCAAAGGCTGGGCTCTTGTGATCTCTGCTCTGTTTTCCCAGTTGGCTGGCAGGAGCTTCCCTTACAAGCACAAAATGGCTGGCATGGCTGCGAACTTCATGTCTTCACACAAATACATCCAAACAGGAGGAAATGGAAAGTGACAAAATGCATTTCTCATCATCCTTCTCCCTTTAATCAGGGAGCAACATTTTTCCCAGAAACCCTCGGTGGCTGAAGTCTCAATAGATTGATTGGGGTCACATGCTCATCCCTGAGCCAATCATAGTCAAAGGGAATTTCTGAAACCATGATTGGCATGGGCCAATCACATCATTCCCTGGGGCTGGACACACTGGCAGGTTAAAAAAAAAAAAAAAAAAAAAAAAAAAAAAGGACTTCTAAGAGTACGAAAAAGGAAACAGTTGTTGAGCAGACACCTGCCAAATGCTCCCTACTGCTCTCCATCTAGTTCAATGCCGAGAAGTTTCTTACAAACAGTAAATCAGCACTGTTAGGAGCGAATGAAGAACTTCCTATATAAATGAATCCAAACCCAGTCATATAACAATCATAACCTACTATTGGTATCATCATCATCATCATCATCAACAGGGATCATGATGAAAGGCTGAATCTAAAAGACCAGGATTGTCCACTTGATTTAAGCTGTAGCTTGTTTTATTGTCCTGGATACTTTTATACACAGTTACCGAAAACACTTATCTTACACTCACCTAAATTAAGCTGAAAGGCTATCACTATTCATTGCTTTCATGTTGATTGCCAAATTAAATAGGGGCTTATGTATAATTATTTGACGTGGAGGCTTGTCCTGACTTGTGGGAAAATTCCTCTCGATCTGTCCATCACCATCAGCTTTCATTCATTCAAACTGAGTCACCCAACCTTTATCACTTCCTGCTAGCCTGACTACAGCTGTCATTTATCTCTTATCACTGCTTCACAGTATGCCACCTTGTGTCCTTCATTTTTGTTGTTGTTCTTTCTCACCTCAAATTTATTTGATTTACTTTTGCATGGATTTACTCATCCCCCATGTCTTGGCGTTCACACGTTTACTGCAATGTTCTTTTTGAACATGTTGTAATCTAACATTGCTCACAGATATATAAATTCCTCCATGGGAAACCTTCAAGGTTACAAATCACATGTAAGACTACAAATATCAGAGTGCTCTTTGAAGCTGTGCTCCATTTTGAGCCATTTAAGAGACTGCAGGGGGAATGAACAGCGCAATTGAGCAATTCAAGAAGGATGACAGAAATGCCAGGGAACAGAAAGATAGCTCAGCCTCAAAGAAAACTCAGAGGACCTTGGGGCAAACTAACTGCCAATACTGTAAAGAGACAGGAGGAGCACAAAAGCTAGCAGAGGACTCTTGTGGAAAGCTGATTTAGGGAAGATAACAATACAAGAAGGATAACTACTGGCCAGGCGCGGTGGCTCACGCCTGTAATCCCAGCACTTTGGGCGGCCGAGGTGGGCAGATCACCTGAGGTCAGGAATTCAAAACCAGCCTCGCCAACATGGAAAAACCCCATCTCTACTAAAAATATACAATTAGCCAGGCATGGTGGCAGGTGCCTGTAATCCCAGCTACTCAGGAGGCTGAGGCAGGAGAATTGCTTGAACCCTGGAGGTGGAAGTTGCAGTGAGCTGAGGTCATGCCACTGCACTCCAGCCTGGGCGACAGAGCAAGACTCTGTCTCACAAAAAGAAAAAAAAAAAAAGATAACTATGAGGAACAATGGTGATCATATGGTAATTCAGGCTTTCTTCGATATTCTGTAACTTTAAGTCACTTAATAGAATGCCAAGGCTTGTTTCTGCTTCCCCATCTGTCTCCATAGCCTGGGATCCACTCCCTTCCTCCTTAGACACAATGGTGACACAGAAGAGGAATGTGGAACACCTAATAGTTTCTCACAGAAAAAGAACCATTCTGACTTCAAGCAAGATCTTTCTACAAATTTAGTTCCCTTGAAATCTTCTGATAATACATAATGAAAAATGAAACAGGCAATATTTCATGGACATGCTTGCATATTATTTCACTTTACTTCTATGAACTCCCAAATCCCCAACTAATTTTATTGCCTGCATCCTCATTTTCTTCTTTTTAACAGCCCCCCCTCCACCATCTATGCATTTTGACCTGACTCATATCCCAGGTTCAAAAATAATAATAATAATTTCTAAGAAAAAATGGTCCCCTGTGTAAGTGAATGACTCTGAGTTTGTCCTGCCTAACCCTTTAGTGCCTAGCTAACATGATACCACTGCGTCTCAAACCAGGAGCAGTAGCCTTGGCTCTATGGCAGCTCCACCCTAAGCGTGCCTTGTTTTTCCATATATAAAATGAAGGGGGTTTAACGAGGTGATCACACACACAGATCTCTTCTCTCACAAGCAGTATGGCCTATGATTAAGAGCAGAATTTCTGAAGCCCTTCCAGTTTTACACAAGAGATTCTAATGTGGCCTTTCTTGTAAACTAAGTAACCTTGGGCAAGACTCTTCATACCCCTGTGTCTTGGTTTTTCCATCTGTAAAATGGGCAAGATTAAATTACCTATCTGGTGAGATTGTGCTGAGGATTAAAAGAGTTAACATATGCAAAGTGCTTAGAATACTACCTGGCAAATAAGCTCTACATTAAGTAGCTGTAGCTGATTATGGATTCTTTTTTTAAAAACAACTTTTTTGAGATATAATTCACATGCCATACAATTCACCCACTTTAAGTGTATAACTCAATGGTTTTCAGTATATTTACAGAGTTGGAAAACCATGAGCACAATCAATTTCAGAACGTTTTTTATCACCTCAAAAAAATACCCTATACCCTTTAGCTATCACCTTCTGATCCTCCTACACTTTGCCCCCAGCCCTAGGCAACCACTAATCTGCTTTCCATGTCTACAGATTTGCCTACTCTGGAGATTTCATATAAATGGAATGATACAATATGTGGTCTCTTGTGGCTGGCTTCTTTCACTCAGCATCATGTTTTCAAGGTTCATAAATGTTGTAGTGTGAATCAGTATTTCATTCATGACATTGTATGAATATACCCATTCAACAGTTGATGGACATTTGGGTTGTTCCCACATTTTAGCTATTATGAGTAATCCTGCTATGAACAGTCATGTACAAGTTTTTGTGTGGACATGCTTTTTCATTTTCTTTGGGTATAAACCTAGAAGTAGAATTTCATAGGTAATTCTACGTTAAATCATTTGAGGAACCACTAGACTGTTTTCCAAACTGGCTGCGTTTTTTTTTCATTCTCACCAGCAGTGTATGAGGGTTCCAATTTTCTACATCTTTACCAACATTTGTTTTCTGACTTTTAGATTCTAGCCATCTTACTTGGTGTGAAGTAGTATCTCATTTTGGTTTTGATTTGCATTTCCCCAGTGACTAATGATGTTGAGCATTTTTGCATGTGCTTATTGGCCATTTGTAAGCTTTGGATTCTTATAAACTATCTATTCCTGATGCTTCAGGAGACCTTATACAGTCAGAGACACCCACAGTAGATCCAGATCCTAGATTTCTATGAGAGTTTGAGGATCCTGTTCACCATATCTTGGCCCTTACAATGTGAGGCTATTAGCCAACTTCTTTTTTATTTTATTTTAAGTTCTGGGGTACATGTGCAGGATGTGCAGGTTTGTTACACAGGTAAATGTGTGCCATGGTAGTTTGCTGCACCTATCAACCCATCACCTAAATGTTAAGCCCAGCATGTATCAGCTCTTTTTTCTGATGCTCTCCCTCTCCCCACCCTCTACCACACAGGCCCCAGTGTGTGTTGTTCTCCTGCCTATGTGCGTGTGTTCTCATTGTTCAGCTCCCACTTATAGGTGAGAACATGTGTTGTTTGGTTTTCTGTTCCTGTGTTAGTTTGCTGAGGATAGCCAAGTGCTTGATGTTACACCACTCAAGGGAAACTGGAAGAGTAGGATATTCCATCTTGAATTTGATCAGGCCCCTGTTTAGCTTCCATTTCTACTCTGGCTTCTTTCATTTCTATGAAAACCTGAAAACCCTAAGACATCCCTTTTATTCCAGTGTCTTCCAGAAGTTCCAATTATCATAATTTGGATTTTCTTAAATTTTTCTGCTGCTTTCTATCTTTTTTCTATGTGTAGAACCTCTCACTGTAAAGTCTTCAAGGTTGTGGAACATGTGTATCACTCCTTATGCACATGGTAGTGATCTGTACCTACTGGCTGAGAATGTGATCCAAGTCTTACCACATTCTAAGAAGCAGCCTCCTTAAAGTAGCTAAAGCTGTTTACACTGGGTTTGTGACTTCAAACAAATTAATTTACTTTTATTTCCTCATTGGCCAAACGAGATTCATAATAACTAGTTTGTAGAGGTCTTGTGAGGAGCAAATAGGATGATGTATATAAAGTATTTACACGGTGCTAAAGAAATAATAAGAACAAAATAAATGTATGTATACCCATCAACCAGTTTATGCCTACCTTAGGTTATCCTGTTAAAAGTCACCTGCAGGTTGACCCTCCAACCCCATGGGGCCAATGGTGCACAGCAGGATTCAAGATATGAGCTGCCCAAGAATACAATTTGCTGAGAGGTTGAAAAATAAGAGCAAGGAACTCCAGACTCCTAGGGACCACGTAGGCAAGGCTGAATTTTCAGGGGAATTTCCACTCCATCATGCTCAGAGATAAAGGAGCCAAGGCAGAAGGCACTGAGCAGTCCAGAGAAGCCCTCAGCCTCATGCCCTTTCTGATTGGCCTTAGGCATTCCTTCAGTGCTACAAGGACACTTCTCCTAAGCCTCAGAAGAAGAATCCAAACACAACAAAGTTCTCCACATCTGAAGAGAAGAGCCATCTAAGACGACTGAATGAAACAATCTCCAGAGATGGGATCTGTTCTCAGCCATGGCTTTCCCTTTCTTGTGGCTTTACAACAGATCCACCTGATAAAGACTGGCTAGAAGGCCTGGGGGTTTAGCTGCCTGGTCACTTGCTGCCATCTATGGGTAGAATATTAAAAGTGACCTAAGGGGAAATTAAAATTTCACACATCCATTCCTGCATTACGTTTAAATGTCGCTCTACAGAAAGTAGCTTGTTGTTTATTCACACTGTTTTTCCTAATTTGCAGAAATATCAGACGGAAGCTTTAGGGTATCTAGAAACCCTACTATAAATATCAAATCTGACTGAGAACTGTGATGCAGATTGTGCTACTGGTTTGAAAAATAAATGGATCCTGATTTCAAGCTCAGTATAGACTTTAAGTGGGAGCAAATTTTGAAAATAGAGATCAAATTAAGAGTTTTTTAGTAACAAAAGTTACTGTTTTAACTAAAAATAAGCTCATCAAAACCTAATAGAGCAGAAAAGGTCCATTTGTCACAGCTGCCATAGAATTAGGATCTTCACAATTATTTTAAATAGTACTTTCTCTCCACAGCTAGAAACTTCTGCATACAGAGACAGAAAAATGGGCTTTAATGAGAAAAGCTCAATTGTGTCCTGAAATATTTATACCAGCTTTGCAAACAAGTATAAAACATTTACCAATGCTGCCTACAAACACTCTCTTGAAAAGGATACAAAATGTAATCTCTGATTCACCAAAACACACACACACACAAAGTTGTTTGATTTATCTGGTCTGCCAATTTTAGATAAATTAGATAACCTAATTTATCTGGTGTGCCAATTTTAGACAAATGTAGATAAAAGTCTAGGGTAGGTCGAATAGAACAATGAAAAGAGAAAATGGCAACTTAACTTGGAGATATGGAGGTAGATGACCTATGCACATAATTCTTAAAACATTCAGCATATTTCTGGTTGTTATAACTATCTCTTAACTAGGTATGAGATCTTAGAAAGTAGAAATTATATTTTATTTATCTTTGTATACCCCACAGCCATTCTATTGCATGAAATTTAGACAATAAATATTTGTAGAAATCTAGTCGATCAAATTTATTTTGTACTACTATGTGCCAGTTGCTGCTCTTGATGCTTGTTCTGGGCATTGTTGCAGGAGGAAGGTAGGAAGGGAGGGAGGAAGGGAATGAGGAAGGGAGGGAGGAGGGGAGGAAGGGAGGGAGGGAAGGAAGGAAGGAAGGAGGGAAGGAAGGAAGGAAGGAAGGAAGGAAGGAAGGAAGGAAGGAAGGAAGGAAGGAAGGTAGGTTGGTTTGTTTCAGTGTGTGTTGAAATGATGAGTTCTAAATTTAGCCATAATATAAGGCAGGAGAAATAGTACTTTGTTGAATAGATAAGCTCAAACAGGATCTTTCGATTTGGCTAATAGTCTGCCTTGGTGCAAGCCTGCATTACCAAGAAAATGCAATGCATAAAAGCTAAACTTAGTTGGTTAAATCCAAGCAGATCAGTTGATTACTTTCAGTTAAGGCAGGTAACAATGTCACCTTTGAGAAAAATAAAAATAGATTCTCATCTATGTTATTGACACTTGTATTTCTAGAACCCAGAAAAGTTCTTGCCACATAATCCTCAACTAATATCTATTGAATGAATATTAATATCATAACCTCCTTCTAGAGGCATTGTCTAGCATACTTGTACAAATAAGGCTTTCAGAGAGATGGAACGACCCTCTCAAGGTTGTTTAACTAGAAACTAGTTGAATTCCAACTGGCATCCCAATGTTTGATTTCTGAGATTCCAAAGTTGGTCATTAGACCAGATCATGTTATACTGCTCAGATCTTGATTCTGGTCTTATTGATGCAAATAAATGCAGAGAAACAAGTATAGTGAATCTATAGCCATGGCACCTGCCTTTGCCGCAGAGCCTCACTCTGTCCACCTTCTGTCTGATGGTATCTGAAGGGTTCCATGATAATCACTGAATTACATAACCACCCAAATGAGATTGTTCTTCCATCTGTTAAGGGCCATCAGAGCCCCCGTGCAATGAATTTCAATTTAAGGAGCTTTATGTTCCATCTGGAGCAAGAGGATTCATTCCTATATAAGAGGAAAAGATCACTGTGATTTTAACCTGGTTTTAATGACAATGACTCAATTCAAATTTAAAATTTTAAATGATGTTTCAATATTGTATGTTTCAGCACACTGAGAGAATCATCTTGCCAACAATTTCCAAAGTCACATTTTCACAGCAGTAAATGCTCATTAAACCATATATACATGAACTCTCATTGCAGTATTGTCTGTAACAGGAAAAAACTTGGAACAAGCCCAACTGTCCATCAAAGATGGGATAAAAAAAATTGTGTTATGTTCATACCATACAGCTATTAAAAAGAATGAGGTAAATCTACATATGCCAGTGTGACAAGATGTCAAAGATATCACAATAAATGGAAAAAAAAACAAGATGCAAAACGCCATGCGTGTTTTTAATACAGAGAATGACTGCAATAAATGTCAGTATATGCATATCAAAAATTTTGGAAGAATATACAATAAACTATAAACAGTAATTACATTGGGAAATAACATTATGGGATAATTTCACTTTATTTTTTATTTTTTGAGACAGAGTCTTACTCTGTCACCCAGGCTGGAGTGCAGTGGAGCGTTCTCGGCTCACTGCCACCTCCGCCTCCCTGGTTTAAGCAATTCTCCTGCCTCAGCTTCCTGAGTAGCTGAGATTACAGGCGCCCATCACCACACCCAGCTAATTTTTGTATTTTTAGTAGAGACAGGGTTTCACCATGTGGTCAGGCTGGTCTCGAACTCCTCACCTCAAATGATCCGGCTGCCTCAGCCTCCCAAAGTGCTGGGATTACAGGCATGAGCCACTGCGCCCAGCCTCACTTTAAACTTTATACATCTCGGCACCATGTAAAATGTTGACAATGATCTGTAATTTAAGAAATGCTTGTTTTATTTTGTTTTAAATATAAATAAGTATAATAAATAAATTTAAAATTAGAATAATTAAACTGAAAGTTTAAAATGACACTTTATATGTAAACTGAATATGATCCTTTTGGAGAAGTACTGTGTGTCACAAGCATTACAAATGTTTATATTCTTTAGCCCAGTAAACTTTAATACAAAAAAACTTTACTCATGAAGATATTTGTTACATTACCGATATAATGCAAAAAGTTGGAAGCAAACCAAATTATTAATAGAAGAGTTAAACTGCCATTTGCAATAAAATATTATACAGCCATTCAACATTGTGATAATATTGTGACTATGAAATAACATGAAATGCTTATAATGTCAAGGATAAATGGAAAAATATAAAATTAAATATTTAAATATGCTTGGTAAATATCTCAATGGTAAAGAAGACTATGAAATAACATTGTGTTCATTAAAAAAACTGTGTTATGTTCATACCATACAGCTATTAAAAAGAATGAGGTAAGTCTACATATGCCAATGTGACAAGATGTCAAAGATATCACAATAAATGGAAAAAAAACAAGATGCAAAACGCCTTGTGTGCCTCTGTTATAATGTTAAGGATAAATGGCAAAATATAAAATTATACATTCAAATGTGCTTGGTAAATATCTTAATGGAAAAGAAAATAGAAAGAAATATACCAGCGCTAAGTAATATCGTTTAAATGGTATCACTCTTGGTTATTTTTCTTCCTTACACATTTTTATACTTTCAAATTAACCACTTACTACATTTGCACCAGAAAAGAATGTAATCATTGATGTTGATGAGATATTAAAAAGAGCAACATTTTTTTAATCACTGGCCAGACATATAAATGTATTCACATTTTTTCTTTCA
Organism: Homo sapiens; assembly: GCF_000001405.40. Lineage (NCBI taxonomy): Eukaryota > Metazoa > Chordata > Mammalia > Primates > Hominidae > Homo > Homo sapiens. The sequence continues at coordinate 13,905,313 of NC_000006.12, read as the reverse complement.
TTTGACCCTTGGCTTCGTGTTGAGGAAAGGTGTGTTCCAAGCCACTGCCACTAGCTTTTCTGCTGTTCTGGAGCAACCACTCACCTCTCACTCGGTTTCTGTGAAATTCAACTACTTCATTAGGCTGAATGAGAGACTGAATAATTTATAAGAAATAAGATTTCCACAAAAGAAGATAGATTCTTCTTATGACTAAGCTTTAGCTTCACAAGACAGCAAGAAGTGATTGTTGGGGGGATCAACAATTTCCACATCAAGAGAATTGAATACCAGTCACGAGGCAGACATCTCCTTGGTGAATATGCTTTGTGCCAGTTATTTACTTCTCTATTTTTTCAGTGTCTTCACCTGTGAGGGTACTGTGTTGAACAAGAATCTTAATTTTAGTCTTAGAATTTTCCTAAAATGAAGGAAATGGGAAGTATAGTGAGGTATCTGCTGTGTGCCAGGAACATACTAGATAGGTATATTACCTTTAGTTGACATAAAAGAAATTAATATTCTAAGAGAGTCAGAAGTAGACCAAGGTAGTGACAAAGTTAAGATTTATTCCCAGGGCCAGGAGAGGTGGCTCATGCCTGTGATCACTTTGGGAGGCTGAGGTGGGTGGATTTCTTAAGCCCAGGAGTTCAAGACCTCATCTCTAAAAAAAAAAAAAAAAAAAAAAAAAAATTAGCTGAGCAAGGTGGCATACACCTGTAGTCCCAGCTACCCAGGAGGCTGATCACCTGAGCCTGAGGAGATTGAGACTGGTGAGCCACAAGCCATGATCACGCCACAGCACTCCAGCCCGGGCAACAGTGAGACCCTGCCAAAAAAAAAAAAAAGATTCAGTCCCAGGCCATCTAACTCTTTCTACCAAACCACTCTTACTCTTTAGGAGTTTGTAGGTTAAGGACATGAAGCTTCAGAGGGCTGAATGATTTGCCCAAGATACACAGCAAGCTAGCACCAGAGTCAGGGCCAGAACATAGATCTCATGAGGCCAGTTCTGTGTTTACTTTCTCTTTTCTCCATTTTTTGTAAAGTTCCTTGTAGTCAATTCATAGTTCATGATCATAAATCACCTGTATTGCCCCTCTTCCGTTTTGTTTTGTTTTAACTTTTCCCCCTCATTTTCTGTCCACACTGTGTTGCCTTCCGGGGTTGTTTCTTGATCTGATATTGCAGCTCATTAATCAATTCTTCAACTACTGTATACACTTTCCACTATGTATCCCATCTCTCAGGTCGATTTTAACCATTATTTTTAATATAATCAATATCTCCAGCATGTGGTCCTTTATAACTTCTTATCTCTGCATCATCACAAATATCCAATCACTTCTTTGAAGTTCTTTTTGTGCTTATTTTAAATTCTTGGTCTATGTGATTATTTCTGGTTCCTACAGCAATACGACAGGACGGGCAAGATATGCTGCAGTAATGAGCAATCCTGGAAATTTCAGTGGCTCACACAACAAATTTTTATTTCTCACTCACAGTTGCATGGCTTTCCTTGCTCTCTAGCAACTGTGACCCAGACTACTTCACATTACAACTGCACTGTCTTAAAGTTCTTCACTGCAAGTCACAAAAATAGTAGCAAAAACAAAAATAAAACACAGAGAACTCACTTCTACACACATCCCATTAGCTAGAACTAGCCAAGTGGCCCCAAACCAACTGCAAGGGAGGCTGGAACGTGGCAGATGAGCACAAAAGCATTTGGTGAGCCCTCATTCTCTGCTTGCTTCGCATGTTGTTTCTCACTGTGCCATGCTCCCCAGATGTCCCTCAGCTCATTTTCCTCACACCTTCACGTTGCCCAGAAATGTGGATCTTGTGGGAGGCCCTAGCATATGGCACTCTTGTTAGATTTAAGGAGGGCAAGGACATGGCCCAGGACAAGGTAGAAAGACCCCTGAATCATAATCTGAGTTTGTTTCATCACTGTCTCCTACACACACACACACACACATACACACACATCCCTTCTTCACTGCCCCGTCTTCAGCACAATCCTGACCTTCAGACAAGCTTTTTGTTCTCCAACCCAGGCATTGCTCTTCAAGATAAATTTCCCCCTGATTGTAATCATCTACTGCTCAGGGTGTGGAGGGGGAACAAGAGAGGAAGGAACGCTCACTAGTGGACCCATCAGCCAGCTCCACTGTCTCCCTGATGTTATCTCTACCCCATGTCCACAGCACGGAACGGACACTGCTGTTCATCCCACAGGTGGCAAGCTGTGAGTTTCCCAAGGCAATAGAGCAGGGGGAAAAAGAGATTGTGGTCAACTTCTCCCAAACTGATGCGCACAAATGTCTTCTGCCTCTCTCTCGTTTCTTCCCCCACCAGGTCCCATCCTCACTTTCCCGAGGGATGTCTCTGCTGTCTACTTTCTCAGACTCGCACGTGTCTTTAACATCTCTGCCGCCTACAGGGTTAGGCTGGGGCTGGAGGAGGAAACCGGACACTGTCAGAGGTCCCAATTTGTCAGGTACCACAGTCCAGAGCATTTCTGCAGCAGATTTTCCTTTTTTATTTTTATTTTATGTTATTGAGACAAGGTCTCTCTCGTCCAGGCTGCAGTGCAGTGGCATGATCTTCGTTCACTGCAGCCTCAACCTCCTGAGCTCCATCAATCCTCCCACCTCAGCCTCCCATGTAGCTGGGGCTACTGGCGTACACCACTGCGCCTGGCTAATTTTTTCTATTTTTTGTAGAGATGGTGTTTTGCCATGTTGCCCAGGCTGGTCTTGAACTCCTAAGCTCAAGTGATCCTCCCACCTCAGCCTCCCAAAGTGCTGGGATTACAGACATGAGCCACTGCACCCACCCTCTACTACAGATTTATTTTTTTTTTGAGACGGACTTTTGCTCTGTCGCCCAGGCTGGAGTGCAGTGGCGCAATCTTGGCTCACTGCAAGCTCCACCTCTCGGGTTCACGCCATTCTCCTGCCTCAGCCTCCTGAGTAGCTGGGACTACAGGTGCCCGCCACAACGCCCGGCTAATTTTTTTGTATTTTTAGTAGAGACGGGGTTTCACCGTGTTAGCCAGGATGGTCTCGATCTCCTGACTTCGTGATCCACCCGCCTCAGCCTCCCAAAGTGCTGGGATTACAGGCATGAGCCACCGCACCCGGCCTCTACTACAGATTTCTAATGCCTCCTGGGAAATAGATACAATCCCAAGATAGTGAGTTTTTACTAAGGAATAACAGATCTCTTTTTCTTCTTCTTCTTCTTCTTTTTTTTTTTCCTATCTTGGAATAAGGGTCCATGGGACTGGCACTCAAAATATGTTACTTGACTGTCTTATCCCCGTTCTTGCAATGAGGAAAACACTTCTCCCAAAATATGCAGCCCTCATGAGCATGGCCACCTCCAAGTGTATTCGATTATTCCTGGAAGAAGCCTGAACTCAGCATTGCCTCTTCTCTCTAGGAGTTGTTCAGATCTGGACAGCACTTAAGAGAAGGAGAAAGGAAGTCAGGCCTGAAGCTCACGGGCTGGCTAGATTTTCTGATTTGCACCCTGCCTGGAAGTTGACTTTTATATGTATAATTAAACACCAGGAAGCAAACAAATGAGACATTGTTGTCAGTGTTTTTTATATTACGGGAAAAATGTATATGATTTGCTTATGCTATATGCTGAAAATATCATAAAAATAAATATTTCAGCTCTAAACTTATAAGCCTAAATCACAGTTTAAAAGAAATTGTTGCTTCTCCAACCACTTAATTGTATCAAAACATATCACCAGAAAAGTGGAAAGGTAAAATTACTTTTTTTCCCCTCCATCCAACATCCCCACTGTAACAGACGCTGTTGGCTTCCTAGTTCAAAACCATTCTCTGCCCGTTTGTTCCTTACCTGCCTCAAATTATAAAGGATAAAAGCCTCAGAAACTTGCCTTGCCAACCTACTTTTCAGCCAGAGTAGCAGCTATATAACCCAGTTCTGGCTAAAGGTTTGCTCGTTGGGGGAACAGGGATTATAGGAAACACATTTTATCTCCCTTAAAAAGGACCTCTAATAAGAAGAAAGGACTCTGTGGGCCGGGCGCGGTGGCTCACGCCTGTAATCCCAGCACTCTGGGAGGCTGAGGCGGGTGGATCACGAGGTCAGATGATTGAGACCATCCTAGCTAACACGGTGAAACCCCGTCTCTACTAAAAATACAAAAAATTAGCCGGGCGAGGTGGTGGGCTCCTGTAGTCCCAGCTACTCGGGAGGCTGAGGCAGGAGAATGGCGTGAACCCGGGAGGCGGAGCTTGCAGTGAGCCGAGATCGCGCCACTGCACTCCAGCCTGGGCGACAGAGCGAGACTCCATCTCAAAAAAAAAAAAAAAAAAAAAAAGAAGAAGAAGAAAGGACTTTGCCACCCCTTCCACTTGTTTGTTACCTTCAATGTAGTCACAATGTCTGGAGCTGTTGTATTATCTGGCAACCATGAAGCAGCATAGCTTAGCATGAAAAAGCACATGCTTGGAACAGCAGAGCAGAACGATAGTAGGAAGTGTCCTTGAAGTGTCCTTGAAGACACTTGAGCTGCTGCACCAAATTTGGAAATGCCCACCCCCAAACTTCTTGTTAAGGGAGATAATTCAATACTTCGTAGCATGAGCTACTACTTATTGGTATTACGTTACTTACAGCCAAAAGTATTCCTAACAATATGTGCCCTAAAGTGAGCTGCCATTATCAAAAGGAGCAATACTGAACCTCTGTAAATTGATTTTAAAAAGGTCAATAGTCAGGAAATGTACTTGAATCCTTTTGACTTGAAAATATAGAGGCCAGGCACGGTGGCTCACACCTATAATCCCAGCACTTTGGGAGGCTGAGGCGGGCAGATCACCTTAAGTCAGGAGACCAACCTGGCCAACATGGCAAAACCCCATCTCTACTAAAAATACAAAAAGTATCCAGGCACGGTGGTGCACACCTGTAGTCCCAGCTACTGAGGAGGCTGAGGCACAAGAATTGCTTGAACCTGGGAGGTGGAGGTTGCAGTGAGCAGAGATTGCGCCATTGCGCCATTGCACTCCAGCCTGGGTGACAGAGTGAGACTGTCTCAAAAAGAAAAAAAAAAAAAAGAAAAAGAAAATATAAAGGAATAATTACCATTTTTACCCTGCCAACTATAAGCTAGGCATTGTGTTAGCCACGTCATAGTATCTAGCCTACAATTTTCTCTTTTTCTAATTTTTATTTTTTAATTTTTTGCTTGTAGAGACAAGATCTCACTATGTTTCCAGTCTGGTCTCAAATTCCTGGGCTCAAGCAATCCTCCCACCTTGGCCTCCCAAAGTGCTGGGATCACAGGTGTGAGCCACGATGCCCAGCCTAGTCTACAATTTTCTTTGGTTGCTCCTACAGCTCTGCTAAGAAACCTCTGATTCAGAGAGCTAGAAAAGTTCAGTAAGGGGAAAATTTGCTCTGGGAAGCAATATATTTTAATAGTGTCTCTAGTAAAATATGTGAGGTGAGGAGAATACCGAAGACTCTATATCATATAGTGATTAAGAGTGTAACAGGATATTTAGGCCTTTTCCTGTAGACCCTGAATTGACAGTTAAAACCCAAAGATGGTATAAAGAGGTGCTAAGACCTCCAGTTCCTACAGAGACCTGCCAAACAACTGAGATACCTCTTTGACCTATTAAGAAATAAAGGGCTGGGCACGGTGGCTCATGCCTGTAATCGCAGCACTTTGGGAGGCTGAGGAGGGCGGAATCCCTGAGGTTAGGAGTTTGAGACCAGCCTGGCCAACATGGTGAAACCCCGTCTTTACTAAAAATACAAAAATTAGCTGGGTGTGATGGCGGGCGCCTGTAGACCCAGCTACTCAGGAGGCTGAGGCAGGAGAATCGCTTGAACCCGAGAGGCAGAGGTTGCAGTGAGCCGAGATCCGGCCACTGCACTCCAGACTGGGCAACAGAGCGAGACTCCATTTCAAAAAAAAAGAAAGAAATAAAGAATTGCCCCTGCTACCACCCAGGCTCCCTCTGAAGAAAACAGGGAGAAACAATCTTTGGATTAGTAGAGAGTGCAGTTTCATGGGAAGGAAGTTTTCTCTCCACTCTCAAGCAAACTGAGAGGCTCTTCAAGAGAATTAGTCACTGAGATTGTGGGTATCTGCAAGAAAGGGCTTTGTAGCATCTCATTCTTGGGTCCAACATCTGCTTAAGGTGTGAACTTGTTAATTAAAAAATAGTTGGAATCTATAGTAACAGCAGAAAGGATTTTTAATCTCAAAGCTTTCAAGACAGCAAGAGGATTTAGCAAGAATAACTGGAGCCACACTATGGAATGAGAAGTATACTCAATTTACTGTGTAGTTAATTGAATTATTATTACATACCACAGTTATAAATAACATAGAGCAGTATCTGATCTTAACTACAGATCCCTTTAGCAATTGGTGAAATGCTTAGACAGGCATTTCTTTGCTCATCCTAATCATTTTTCATTCTCAAAATGGTTTCCACACTATTTCTAATGGAAAAGTCCTAGATCATGGCCTTTATTACAAGTGGCAAAAAATTATGACTTATGGTAATATCGCTTAAAATTCAGATAGAATTAAAATCTTTTCCCCTTGCTTAAAAATGCAATATATATTGGTTGCAGAAAATGGGAGAAGGAAAACAAAAATAAAAACCCCACTATAACAAAGAAAATTAAAGTAACCTATAATCCTGCTGTCCAGACAAGACCTCTATTAACATTGTGTTGTATTTCTTCTAAGATGAACTAGTGCATGTGTGTGTGTGCGTGTGTTCATGTGTATTATGTAAATTTGGGATTATACTGTAAACCACTAGCAATTTTTCCTATTATATTGTGAACATAGTCCCATGAAATTAACTATTCCTTAAAAACATGATTTTTAGTGACCACAAATTATTTTATTGTAAAATTGAATTACATTTTATTAAACCATTTCCCTATCACTGAGATTTGATCCATTTGGAATTCTTAGGTATTCTAAATAAAACTCCCATTGAATGTCCTTAAATTAAAAGAATTACAATAATGACTAGAGTGAGATGGTAAAGTGGAGCAAGAAACCACAGCAGATCAGCCTGCCTTTCATCATATGGTGCAGCAGGAGTGCAGGAGTGCCCCATCGGCCAACAGATTCGCTGGAAGAAAGTCAACCTTGAGCCATTTTCTTATTGCAATCCACCGGGCAAAAGAACCCAAGCAGCAGAAAGCCTGGTTGCAGAGGTGATGGCAGGCACTAAGGAAGAGTGCAAATGGGCAAGCTGATCCTACTCTCCAGTATCAGGGAATTGTTCCCTGGAGAAGCATTGCTGGCTCTAAAAAACAAAACAAAACAAAAAACATGCATGTAGCTCAAGAGAGCTAGCATTCAGATCCTGCCACACACCTGACCTCAAAGGCCAGTCCATGGAAGCAAGAAAAGCAGAGACAAACAACAAAAAGGGGACTGCACCCATAGGTCATTGAGTAAGAGATGTTTATTCTTTCCAATCTTTCACTGCAAAGGAGCTGAGCCCGAAGTGGGAGAGAGAGAAGGTGTTCCAAAGGAAGGCCATGCGTTTGGACTCCAAGGTGAGAGAGTCTAGAAGAGCTGTAGAGTAGACCAGGGCCCTTCCCTACCCAGGTCACCTGTGAGATCATTAAGTTCTTCCGTGCTTAAGCCACTGCTAGTAGTTTGTTAGTTGCAGCCAAGAACAACCCTAACTGATTCCTACTCCAAGGTGTGGAACATGCCCAGAAATTATGAGATCTGCTCATGAGTCCTGTAGGGAATCCATCTGCCAAAAAGAAAGGGAGGGTCAACATAGTACAGTCTGGAGACAAGGACTCGGAGAAAGATAAGACTATTTCATGTTCACACTCCAGCACATTTGGACTGTTCAATTAACACACGTACAATCACATGTTGAAATCCTACTTCTGCTATTTGCCAGCAGTGTGTCTTTGGGCAGGTTCCTTAATTCTCTGGACCTCAGTTTCCTCAACACTAAAATGGAGGTAACAATATTTATTTCACAGTGTTGTTCTGAAGATTAAACAGGATGATGTCTGTCCAGTGCTTAACATGTTGGCTAGCATACAGTGAGTGCTCGGTAAATGGTAGGTAATAGTACTGGCAAGTAGTGAAGGAGCCTGGGAGCATGTCATGTGAAGAGATGTTAAGAAACCACATGATTGATGTCTTCAAATGTTGGAAAATTTCTCCTATGAAAGAGACTGTAGACAATCTGGTATTGCTACAGAGGGAAAAATGGGCAAAGAGGGAGGAAAATTCAGGAAAAAAAAGTTTAGCTCAGTAAAAATAAAAAATAAAAAAATTGAAAAGGAAGAAGTTCTAGTGTTCTATACAACCTGATATCATTTTGCTGTGTCCCCACCCAAATCTCATCTTGAATTGTAGTTCCCACAATCCCCATGTGTCGTGGGAGGGACCAGGTGGAGATAATTGAATCATGGGGGTGGTTTCCCCCATCCTGTTCTCATGACAGGGAGTTAGTTCTCACAAGATCTGATGATTTTATAAGGAGCTTTCCACCTTTTGCTCAGCACTTCTTGCTGCTGCCATGTGAGGAAGGACGTGTTTGCTTGTAAGTTTCCTGAAGCCTCCCCAGCCATGCTGAACTGTGAGTCAATTAAACCTCTTTCCTTTACAAATTACCCAGTCTTGGGTATGTTCCTATTAGCAGCATGAGAACAGACTAATACAACCATAGGATGACTACAGTTAATAATAATATATTATATAGTTTCAAATAGCTGGAAGGATATTGAATGTTCCCATCACAAAGAAATAATAAATGTGTGAGATGATGGATATGCTAATTATCCTGATCTGATCACTGTATATTATATGTATCACAGCATCATTATGTGCCCCAAGAATATGTATGATTATTATGTGTCAATTATAAATTTAAAATTAATTTTTTTAAAATCCAAAAAATAAAAATCCTAGTGCTTTGTTTTGGTTTTCCCCCTTTGGTGACAGCAAGAAGCTTAATAACAACCTGAGGCAAACACATCCAAGGAGTAGAATCATCCAAGTTTGTAGGTATCTTTATCCCTGGAGTCTCCCAAGGCATCTACAGGCTTGGGTTCCCATATTTCTGAGGACAACAGGCTGCTTTTCTGGTGAGTACAATGGCCAGGGGTCCAAGCAGAGGCACATAAAACCCCACAAAGCCCACCTACTTTGCTCACTTGCCATCTTTTGACCCTCTCTTCCCTGCTCCTCCTTTCTCAATTCTATCAGCCAGGAACTATAAGTCAGTCTGAAAGTGGGTGGCAGCCACTGCATAGAGGGGAGAGTAACCCCCAGTACCTCAAAATGTGATCTGATTTGGAAATAGGGTCATTATAGATATAAGTAGCTAAGTTAAGATGAAGTTATACTGCAGTGGAATGAGCCTTTAATCCAATATGACTAGTGTCCTTAGAAGAAGAGGTGAAAGAGACACAGAGAGGAGAATGTCATGTGAAAACACAGACACACAGGGAGAAGAGGGCTACATAAAGATGAAGGCAAAGATTGGATTTATGCTGCCACAATTAAATGACCACCTGGGGCTACCAGAAGCTGGAAAGGGTAAAGAAGGATCCTCCCCAAGAGCAGGTCCAGGAACACAGTCCTGCTGACACCTTGATGTTGGACTTCTGGCCTCCAGAATTATGAGAGAATAAATTTCTATTATTTATTGATTGATTGATTTTGAGAGGGAGTCTCACTCTGTCATCCAGGCTGGAATAAAGTGGCATAATCTTGGCTCACTGCAACCTCCACCTCCTGGGTTCAAGCAATTCTCCTGCCTCACCCTCCTGAGTAGCTGAGATTATAGGCACCTGCCAATAATCTTTTTTTGTATTTTAGTAGAGACAGGGTTTCACCCTGTTGGTCAGGCTGGTCTCAAACTCCTGACCTCAGGTGATCCACCCACCTCAGTCTCCCAAAGTGCTGGGACTACAGGTGTGAGCCCCTGCTCCCAGCCAAATTTCTGTTATTTAAGCCATTCAGTTTATGGTACTTTGTTATGGCAGGAAACGAATACACTCTTCCCTGTGCATAATATACCTTTTTTTGGAACAGGGTCTCATTCTGTCACCCAGGCTGGAGTGCAGTGGTGCAATCACGGCTCACTGCAGCCTTTTTTTCCTGAGGTGATCCTCCTGAGTAGCTGAAACCACAGGCATGTGCTACCATGCCCAGCTAATTTTTTTCAAAGTTTTTATAGATACAGGGTTTCACCATGTTGTCCAGGCTGGTCTTGAATTCCTGGGCTTAAGTGACCCTCCCATCTCAGCCTCCCCAAATGCTGGGATTATAGGTGTGAGCCACCACGCCTGGCCCCACACACAATATACTGGAGCTATACTTTAACATAGCAGATCCACACTGTTGGGGTCTTTAAGGTTATGCAATAATGAGCATCCCAGTTCCCCACTTAAGTTTTAATACAAATTAAAAATAAATCAAAAGAATATGCTAATGACTCCCAAACACACATCTCCAACCAGATCATTTATGTTAACTCCATATCAAAAATATTCTCAATTTCCTATTGGACACCTCCATCTCTCATACACACTCAATATTAAACCTATATTACAGCAATTACTCCAGGAAGACTCCTTTCTTCTAAACTTACTACCACTGTCTTAGTTCAAACTCTTATGGTTTCATTTAACTTAATTAAACTGAAATTACCATCTGACTACTCTGTTTCCAAATCTCTTCCCATCCTTTATTTCACCCAATTTATCTTCTTAAAAATTAAATCTGATAAAAAAGCATAAAGTAACAAGAAATATATCTAACAAAATGTGTATGAGATCTTTAAGTAAACAGCAATACACCTTTATTGAACCACTTGACAGAAAACCTCAAGAAATGAAGAGATGTACCAAGTTCATGTATGGATGAATACAGTATTCTGCAGATTAGTTTCTAAATACATACCATTTCAATAAAAACTCTATGACATTTTTGGTGAGACCTGACAACCTGATTTCCAAATACACGAGGAAGACAAAAGGGACAAAAATAGCCAAGATAATTGTGAAGAAAAACAAAGTTGGAAGATTCGCCATACCAAGCATGAAGACTAGTTATATATCTTTGGTACTCATGCAGAGATAGCCAAAAATGAAACACGATAAAAACAGCCCCATGCTTATGTGGACACTCAATATATGTCAGAGATGTCATGGCAAATTGTCTGTGTTTGGGGACATGGAGAGGATGTATTAGATTCTTTGGGCTACTAAAACAAAATACCACAGACTGCATAGATTAAACAACAGAAATTTATATCTCACAGTTTCGGAAGCCGGAAGTCCTAAATCAATGTGTGAGTAGGTTTGGTTTCTCCTAAGCCCTCTCTCTTTGGCTTGCACATGGCCCCCCTCACTCTGTCCTCACATGGCCTTCTCTTTGTGTGCATACATCTGCGTCCTCATCTCCTTTTCTTATAAAAACACCAGTTCTATTGGATTAGGGCCACATCCATATGACCTCATTTAATTACCTCCTTAAAGGCCCTATCTGCAACTTTTAGAAGATAGTAGGAAATCTTTATGACCTCTGGACCAAAAGGATTTCTTTAAAAAGACTACATTAAAAGTAAAATTTCTGTGTATCAAAAGACCCTAGAACATAGTGAAAAGTGAAAAACTCAAAAGGACTAAATGTCTATCTACAGGAATAAATAAATTATGGTTTGTTTACAAAATAAAATCTTATACAGCAATGAAATGAATAAACTAGTATTACATGTATCAACATAGATCAATCTCAAAAATATAATATTGAATGAAAAAAGCAAGTTGCAGAGCATACAAAAATATGATATATATGTGTATGCACATATATTTTATATACATTACAAATGCTGTATCCAGACCAGGTGTGGTGGCTCACGCTGGTAATCCCAGCACTTTGGGAGGCCAAGGCAGGTGGACCAACTGAGGTCATGAGTTCAAGACCAGCCAGGCCAACATGGTGAAACCCCATCTCTACTAAAAATATAAAAAATTATCCAGGCTTGGTGGCATACACCTGTAATCCCAGCTACTCGGGAGACTGAGGCAGCAGAATTACTTGAACCCAGGAGGCAGAGGTTGCAGTGAGCCGAGATCGCACCATTGCACTCCAGCCTGGGCAACAGAGCCAGGCTCCATCTCAAAACAAACAAAAATAAATAAATACTGTAACCATAGTCATATATATGTGTACACACATATATTTTATAACATTATATTTTATAAATTATAAATTTTATATAAATTATAAATTTTACAAATTACAAAATATAATTATATAATTATAAATTTAATTATAAATATAATTATAAATTTTATATAAATTATACATTTTATAAATTATAAAATATAACATAAAATATAATTTTATAAAATATATGTATGTACACATATATATGGCCATGGATACATAGCCATATATATATGTATTAAAAGTAAAAACAAAAATAGAATAAGAATGATAAATTCCAAATTCAGGATAGCAGCTACCTTTAGAAAAGGGGATTAGTAAATATGATCAGACAGAGGTAACAGTGGCCTTCAGCAGTATTTGTAATGTTATTTCTGAAACTGCTTGATAGGTATATTATATAATTCTTTAATCTTTTTTCTGTCTAAAAATTTTATTATTTCTGAAGCTGCTTGATAAGTATATAATTCATTAACCTTTCTATGCCTAAAATTTTTATTATAAAAATTTAATTATTAAAAAAAACTACCCTACTTTCCCTGCTTAGATTTCTGTAGGTTCACATTGCATATAAAGTCAGGCTTAATGACTTGACACAACAGCTGATTCATTTTTTTAGCCTCATCGCTCATCCCACTCAAACTCCTTCCCTTACCTCACCACCTCCCATCACACTAGATTCTATGCTGTAGCTATTCTGAGCCACTCATTATGCCTCAAAATCAGTGCCCTTTATTCCACTATATATCTTGATGGTCTGAAAGGTCCTCTCACTGCTTCTCTTGGCAAACCTACCCTCCTCCAAAATCTACATCTAACATCTACCCCCTTGTGAAGTTCCTTTCATACCCTGGTGCAGAATCCATGGCTTCCTCATTGTATTCCCATAGCAGAGTCTTAATTGATTGACACATTTACAAGTCATATGGGAATTACCTATTTGCATGTCCATCCCCACAAAGAGACCAATAATTCATTCCTAGACAGAGGCCTGTAAATTGTGGCCCACGAACCAAATTCAGCCCACCACCTGATTTTGTACAGTTCATGAGCTAAAAATGTTTAAAAAACATTTTTAAATGGTTTTGAAAAATAAAAATAAATAATGTTTTTTGACACAAAAAATTATACGAAATTTAAATTTTAGCATCCTTAAATAATATTTTATTGGGACGCAGCTATTATTATTCATTCATATATGGTCTTTGGCTGCCTCAGCACTGCAATGGCAGAATTCAGCAGTTTCAACATTGACCCGTATGGCACACAGAGCCTAAAATAGTTTCTCTCTTGCCCTTTAGAGAAAAAGTGTGCCAGCCCCTCTCCTAGAAGGTGAAGACTGTCTTATTGGTCTTTGTTACTAGGATCAGGTTCAGTGCCTTACAAAGGACTCAGGAAATGTTTGATGGGTGAATACATGAATTAATAAATCCAATACTGGTTTAATGAAAGAAACACCTTGTGCTTTCAGGACAGCTCAGTTCTCAGGACTATGTGATTCAGAGTGCATTGGCTCTGGTAATTCTTGAGTTCTCACAAGTTCTGACTTCAATAAGTATACTCTGGCTAAAGTCGTATTTGGCACAGTCTGTCAATCCAAAATTGAATTCATAATTTAAATGACTGCAGGGCTACACAAATTCCTGGTACGATGCTCATAGGACCAGCTATTATTAGCTAATGCCCCATCTCAGAATAGCTGACAGCAGCCCTCTAAGAACCAAGTCATCACCTGGAGCAAAGCAGGAAAGGGCAGATGCTGGAGGAGCTATTATAGAACCTTCCATCACTCCCTACACGAATCTTCCTGGGCTATCCAAACAAACACTGTGCCAGAATCCACCTAGACACATGGTAAGAATTTTAATTTTTTCAAACTTATTGATTACTACATTCTTCCCATACTTTTTAGGAATGCCCTCAGGGAGGGGAAGAAAGGTAGGTTTTGGATTAATGAAACCAGTTCCTACATACCCTGAGATATTCTGCCATCTACAATGCCAGTAGTAGTCAGGCATAACTCTTCTTCTCTTGAAGGTGTTGTCAAATAACGTGAGATTTCAAAACCCATGACCTAAAGACCAACAGAAAGGTACATGTGCAATGGTAAGCATTCAGATTTTCTTTTGGTGAATAGGCCTATTTAATCAACAAAATCAGCAGCCTGTTGGAAAGGAAGCTCTAGAGGTAAAATAGGATTGCATATATTTTTAGCAATGTAATGACTCCAAAAAGGAACTAAAGAGACATAAAACGGGTACATAAAATGGGTCTCAGGGTTGAAACTTCATCTGATACTCTTTGTTCTGTCGTTTTTCAGCTACTGAGGACTGTACAAATGTCACCCCTCAGACTGGTAATATTATCACATCTTTCTCTTTAAATGGTGCTGCTCCTCAGAGAATAAATTCTTCAGTCACACTTAGTGTGATATTGCCGAAGCAGAGATCAGAATTTGTAATATACGCAGATAAGTAGCCGTTGTGTCCTATAATTTGAGGGTCATAGAAAGGCTCTCTGGAAACAGATTCTAAGACAGAGTGGCATGAAGTCAGTTTATGTGCCATTTTTAGCAATGTAATGTCATCCCAGGAGATCCACCTGGGAGAAAATGAAGAAGGCAGGAAATAGGTGAAGGAGAAACTGTTTTGCTCACAACAGAGGCCTCAGCCCATTCTTCAGGGAGCTCCGGAGCTGGCATAGACCTTCAGATTGTCCAAATGGACGTAAGAGAGTGTTATGAAATTTTGTCCCCTCACGAAATTCATATGTTGAAGTCCAGACCTCCAGTACCTCAGAATTGGACTATTTGGAGATGGGACCTTTAAAGAGGCAATTAAGTTAAAACAAGGCCATATATGCTTAACTGTTAGGGTGGGTCCAATATGACTGGTGTCCTTACAGGAAGCAGAAGAGACACAGGGATGTGCTACCGGTACCAATTTACTGTATTAGTCCGTTTTCACACTGCTGATAAAGACATACCTGAGACTGGGTAATTTATAAAGAAAAAGAACTTTAATAAAGTCACAGTTTCAGCTGGGTGTGGTGGCTCACACCTGTAATCCCAACACTTTGGGAGGCTGAGGCAGGCGGATCACCTGAGGTCAGGAGTTCGAGGCCACCCTGGCCAACATGGTGAAACCCCTACTCTACTAAAAATACAAAAATTAGCCACGGTGGCTCACACCTGTAATCCCAGCTACTCAGGAGGCTGAGGCAGGAGAATCGCTTGGACCCGGGAAGTGGAGGTTGCAGTGAGATGAGATCATGCCACTGCACTCCAGCCTGGGTGACAGAGTGAGACTCCATCTCAAAAAAAAAAAACTTTATATATATATGTGTATATATATATACACACACACACATATATATACACACATATATATGTGTATGTATATATGTGTGTATATATATTTATGTTTGTGTGTATATATATATATAAACTCAGTTTCACGTGGCTGGGGAGGCCTCACAATCATGGCGGAAGGTGAAAGGCATGTCTTACCTGGCAGCAGACAAGAGAGAATGAGAATCAAGCAAAAGGGGAATCCCTTATAAAATCAGATCTCGTGAGACTTATTCACTACCATGAGAACATTATGGGGGAACCACCCCCATGATTCAATTATCTCCCACCGGCTTTCTCCCACAACACATGGGAACTGTGAGAGCTACAATTCACGATGAGATTTTGGTGCAGACTCAGCCAAACCATATCAACAGTCTACACTGAGTAAAGCCCACAGAAGGACGCAGCAAGAAGACACCATCTACAAGCCAGGGAGAGAGGCTTCAGCAAAAACCAACTCTGCCCACACCTTGATCCTGCACTTCTAGCCTCCACAACTGTGAGAGAATGAACTTCTGTTGTTTAAACCTCCCAGTCTGTAGTATTTTGTTATGGCAGCAGTTGCAGACAAGACAGAGGACCAGGCTTCTGTCTGTCAAAACAAGTCCTCCCTTCCTGCCTGAAATTCCATCACAAATGCCTTTATATCACCAGCAACTTACTTCCTTCATGTACCAAAAACAACAACAAAGTATTAAGCACCTTCTGAATGTCACGCACAATGCTATTCACTAATAGTCAATGATGAACATGCCTTCTTGAAGTACACAGACAAAAAAGTAATTACAATATCATTTATAAGTGTCATGATGTAAGGATGAGTAGCGTATTGTGGAAGTGCAGATGAGGGGCACTTAATTAGACTTGGGTGATCGGGGAGGGCTTCCTAGGTGAGTAGGAGATGTTCAGCCTGAGTGAGGGAAGGAATCATCCAGCACGTGCAAAGGTCAGGAGGCAAGAGTTGATATTGTATTAAGCAGCAGAAGGCTGGAATGTAGAGTGAGAAAGGACAAAATGGTAAGAGAAGAGGCTGAGAGGCCAGGTGCGGTTGCTCAGGCCTGTAATCCCAGCACTTTGGGAGGCTGAGGCGGGCAGATCTCCTGAGCTCAGGAGTTCGAGACCACCCTGGGCAACATGGTGAAACTCCATCTCTACTAAAATACAAAAAATTAGCCAGGTATGGTGGCATGTGCCTGTAGTCCCAGCTACTTGGGAGGCTGAGGCATGAGAATCGTTTGAGCCCCAGAGGCAGAGGTTGCAGTGAGCCACGATCGCACCACTGCACTCCAGCTTGGGCTACAGAGTGAGACTCTGTCTCAACAAAAAGAAAAGGGGGGGCTGAGAAAATAAAGAGTGACTGGACCACCAAGAAGTTTTGACTTTACATTAAGAGCTATGGGTAGCTCTTGAGTCTTAAGCAAAGAGATGAAATAAAATTTGTTTTACAAGGCCCTGTCTGGCTCCAGAATGGATGAAATGACAGACGGATTGCAGACTGAGAATGGATTAGAGAGGATGAGTGAGGAAGTCACAGGGCAGTTGCAGTAGATCAGTTGAAGAAGCAGGGTCACCTCTCTGAAGAAGATGTCCATGAATATACATTTCCACACCCCTTGCAATTTGAGCCATAACTAGGAGGTAGAAATTAACAGGACTTAGTGGTTGGATGGCCATTTGTGATGAAACAAAGAGAAGAGTTATCTGAAAAACTGGGTGGACGGGGGTGCCATTCCCAGAGAAAAGGGCAACTCAAAGGGTCATCATTACCACATTAGCTGTCCTCACCACGTTTAAACTTTGCCTGTCCTTATATGTGTTTGCAAATCTGTCATCCCACTGAGATACAAGCACATTGAGGACAGGGAAATAATTTCCATTTCTGTTAACTGGGCACAGCATCTCCTACTGCTTGATATGTGCTACTAGAAGAAACACAGACACTGAGGTCAAGCAGACCTGGGTTCAAATTCCAATAACACAAGCCACTAACCAAGTGACTTTGGAGCAAGTGATTTTCTTTTCTTTTTTCTTATCTTTTTCTTTCTTTCTCTCTTTCTTTTTCTTTCTTTTGTTTTTTTCTTTTTTTTTTTTTTGGCTAAAGATTGGGTCTCACCCTATCTCTAGTGGCATGATCAAAGCTCACTGCAGCCTCGACCTCCTGGGCTCAAGCAATCCTCCCGCCTCAGCCTCCTGGGACTACAGGTGTGCACCACCACGCCTAGGTATGTTTTTGTAGAGACGTGATCTTGCTGCGTTGCCCAGACTGATCTCAAACTCCTGGCCTCAAATGATCCTCCTGCCTCAGCCTTCCAAAGTGCTGGGGTTATAGGCATGAGCCACTGTGCCTGGCCTAAGTGATTTACTTTCTCTGAGCCTCAGTTTCCTCAAACATGAAACAGACAGAACAACGTCTACTTTACTAGGTAGCTGTGGGGATTCCGTGAAATCATGTATAGATATACCTAGCATATTTATTCATTCATTCACCTTTAAGCACCTATTATGTGCCAGGTACTGTCCTAGGCTTGAGGATTTAGGAAGTACATTCCAATAGGGGAAGAGGACAATAAACTATAAAGCTATAAACAAGATAACTTCAGACAATGATTTGTAAGTATTATAAAGGCAATAAAACAGGCTGAAATAATAGAAAGTGGGAGTGAGAAGAGGAAATACTTCTTTAGATAAGAATGCCTGTAATTCTAGCTCTTTGGGAGGCCAAGGTGGGCGGATCACTTGAGGTTAGGAGTTTGAGAACAGCCTGACCAACATGGTGAAACCCCATCTCTACTAAAAATACAAAAATTAGCCGGGAGTGGTGGCATGCACCTGTAATCCCAGCTACCGGGGAGGCTGAGAATCACTTGAACCTGGGAGGTGGAGGTTGCAGTGGGCCAAGATAGCACCACAGCCTGGATGACAGAGCAAGACTCCATCTCAAAAAAAAAAAAAAAATAAAAGACTATCGTGGAACAGTTCTCTGATGAGAGCACATTCTAGCTGACACTAACTGCTGAGGAGGAGACAGGAAATTGACATGTGGAGAAAGAGCATCCCAGGTAGCAAAAACAGCAGGTGCAAAGGCCTTGAAGTTTGTACTCACTAATTTCTAGTCCCCTTCTTTCTTTCCCTTATTGAAATGAATAAAATCATTCAAATTGCGACAAAATCAATCTCAAGATTACCACTCTGTAGCAATAGGCCCTTAATCCTCAACAGGCCCTTAATCCTCAGCTATTTACATGTTGTGGTAGTGATTCCCAGACTTGCCTCGACCCTACTTCCTGAAGATTCTAATTTGGTATGAGACAGGCCTAGGCTTACACCTTTTTTAGTAAGCTTTCCAGCTTATTCTAAAGTTTGAGAGCCATTGTGTTAGAGAAAGGACTGTGGGTCCCAATTTAAAAATGTACCAGGCCAGGTATGGTAGCTCACACCTGTAAGTAATGCCAACATTTTGGGAGGCCAAGGCAGGAGGATCACTTGAGCCCAGGAGTTCAAGACAAGCCTGGGCAACATAGCAAGACCCCATTTCTACAAAAACAAATTTAAAAAAATTTTACTAAAAAAATTTGTTTTTTAATTTAAAAAAATAGCTGGGCATTGTGGTATACACTTATAATCCCAGCTACTCAGGAGGCTGAAGTGGGAGGATGGCATGAGCCCAGGAGTTCAAGGCTGCAGTGAGCCAAGATTGTGCCACTGCACTCAGCCTAGGCAACAGAGTGAGATTCTGTCTCTGAAATTTTTCAAAATATATTATATTTCTTATAAAAATGCCCTTCTTGGAGCTCGAAATTTGATTCTTTGTTTGTTTTACAGCTCAACTGGCTATATTCAGAGTTAGATGAGACCTTGCTGAATTAGGAAACAAGTTAGCTTAGCTCCAAGATAGGGGAAGAAATGTGGCCATGTTTTTGGCACCTTTTAATTGCAAATAAATGCTAACATTTTGGAGAAAATCCAAAGAGCAATTAAGAGGAGAAAAGAACTAGCAAAATTATAAAACTAGTAAGTATTGTTTCCAAAAGCTGAACATACTCTTCTGCATAAGGATGGGGGAAAAAATGACGTGTCCAAAGGGAAGTTTATAAATGCCAAAAAAAAAAAAAATCCCTCTAGAGGAGAAAAGTGTTTGCATTTACTGAGTATAAGCTTCTTGTTTTAAGCAGCTACAATGTCAAGTTACAATAGAGGGAAACATCCATATCAGCCATTAAAACATAATTTATAGGCAGGGCACTGTGGCTCCTGCCTGTAATCCCAGCACTTTGGGAGGCCGAAGTGGGTGGATCACTTGAGGCCAGGAGTTTAAGACCAGCCTGGCCAATATGATGAAACCTCATCTCTACTAAAAATACAAAAATTAGCCAGTGTTGTGGCAGGCACCTGTAATCCCAGCTACTTGGGAGGCTGAGGCAAGAGAATCACTTGAACCCAAGAGGCGGAGTTTACTGAGATTGCACCACTGCACTCCAGCCTGGGCAACAGAGCAAGACTCCATCTCAAAAAAAAACCATAATTATGAAATAGAAACATAACTACTGTTCTAAGGAAACTACTCATATATTATTTTGTGGAATAGGGTGTTCTTGATAAGATATGATTGTAACAAACTCCAAAACAGGGAGGAAGAAATTAGATGTGAAGGAGTGGAACACTCCCTGAAGGTCAAAATGGAAGGGATAGGACAGAGGGAGGTTGAGGAAGAGGTGGCTAAGGTAGAAAAATGCAGTGCCACTTCCTATAGCTCAGCCAAGCAAGCAACTGGGTTGGACCAAAGAGACTCCAGGTAGCAGCTACCTGAAAACTGAAGTCGATGGCAATACTGAGAGAAAGTTCAAAGGAAGAGGCAATGGCAGCCTGGAGTCACAGGGAGTTAGTGGCAGGAGAAAAGTTCAAAGGAAGAGGCAATGGCAGCCTGGAGTCACAGGGAGTTAGTGGAAGGAGAAAGTCTCCTAAGCAAGATTGTGTGGCACTAGGCAGCAGAAGCTACAGGGGTACAGGGAGGCAGGCAGGGGTCATCTCCACAGTAATGTGAGTGTTAAGTCAGGTCCTGCCAGGAAGGAGAGGTGGTCATGAGGGATCCCAAACGGTTTCACACTGACACACCCCACATAGTCATACACATATTCACAAATGCGTATCACCATGCCCACACGCTCATACACACAGTCACATACTTATGCACACCCCACATGCGCACACACACACATACACACACTCATGTACACACTAGGCTAGAAGGCAGAATTGTAAGGCACTGCTGGCAATTCCACTAGCTGGACCGCTTGGAGCCTTAAAATCATTATTTGTCACCTTTTTCTGTAACTATTTTGAATATTCAAGCATGAGGCCAAGGAAATACCTGTTACTATATAAACTACACTTTGAGGGAAAAAAATAGTGACTCAATGAGAAATGCATTATCTCAATTTTAATTCATCTCCAATTGGCTAGGATCTCAAAATTTTGTCTTTAGAAGTCACTCCTAAAGCAAGCCAAACCACCACTTAAACTCAGTAGAGAGAGAATAAATGGCTGTGTTATCTGTACAAGGTTCCTTCTGAAGCAGTCATGAAGGAAGAGATAGCCAGGGCCTGAGCTGGCCTAGAAGTCAGACACAGTCTCCTTGGTAAGGACCTAATCCTGTGATAACTTTGGATAACAGGAAGAATTTTAAAAACAATTTATTTTTATCACTGTACATCCATCTGTGAAGTTAAGACTGTATTTATGATATGAGTAACACCTTAACTCTTTATTGAGGGACTCTATGTATTATTCCTTGGGAATCTCTGCCCTCCTGAAGCTTGTATTCTCCTGGGGGAGAGAGGAAGAGAAAAAGAGATAATAATTAAATGGATAAGAAAAACATACAATATGTCAGATGGGGTAAGTTCTATGATAAAAAAACTATTCAGAGTGGTTAGGCTGAAGGAAGGAGAAAAAGACATAGTTGTTATGTTTTTGTTTTTGGTTTTTTTGTTTGTGTGTGTGTGTGTTTTTTTTGCAGTTGCAAGATTTAATAGAGTGAAAACAGAGCTCCCATACAATGGGAGGGGACCCAAAGGGGGTTGCTGCTCCCTGCTTGAATGCCTGGATTTATATCCCGATCATTGTCCCTCCCACTGTGCTCTCAGGCGATATATGATTTGACTATTTCTTTACCTCCTACTTTAGCCTAATTTGTATTTTAGTGAACCCTCTTTACTATCTGATTGGTTGAGTGTGAGCTGAGTTACAAACCCCGTGTTTAAAGGTAGGTGCAGTCACCTTCCCCAGCTAGGCTTAAGAATTCTTAGTTGGCCTAAGAAATCTAGCTAGTCCTGTCTCTCAGTAACCCCCTCAACAGAAAACCCAAGTGCTGTTGGGGAGGTTGGCCGACGACCGCTCTTAACTGCTTCCTGCTGAATTGGGGCATAATAGGGGTTGGGCAGTTGAGATTTCCTCGGGAGGGGTGCCTTCAATGTCATCAACATTGGAGCATTGGCTAGCAGGCCAGTCCAGGGGACCATGGTAGATCTCAGTCATGGACTGCATCTGGGGCTCCATTTGAAGAACGATTTGTAGTTTTACAGCTTCAATTCTGGAAGAGACAAACTTAACAAGGAGGTTAAAGATACAGGGATTGAAATGTATGGCCTGAAGTGTAGGGGATTATTTCTTTGGCACACTTCACAGGCCCTGACTATCTGCTTGATAGTTTTGAAAAGGCCTGGTCCAGTAAATAATGATTTGGCCATCTGATGGGTGCTATCAATGCCTAAGTGAAAGGTTTGGTGAAGGGTTTTAAGTAATTTCCATTGGTTAGCTGCAGGCAAAAGTATTTTTCCTTCTTTGGTGGCTAGCCATCCTGAGGGGAGGAAACTATGTCCTCGTGAGGTTCCCCATTCTATTTCTTCTGCTGAGTACTGGGGCTTGGTTTACCAGAGGGGATTACCCCATATTAGGGGTCCTTCTATAAGCATTTCTAATGGAGGGTCCCACCTTGCGGCTCTTTTGGCTTTAATATCCGCTTGGCGGTTCCCTTCTATTTCCCTTTCCTTTCCTTTCTGATGGCCCCGGCAACATAAGACTGCCACCTCTTTAGGTTTCTGTACAGCCAATAATAATCTCCTAGTGGCTTCCTGATGTTTGATAGGTGTTCCCTCAGAAGTTAGGAATTCTGTTTCTCTCCATATTGCTGTGTGGACATGGAGGACTAGGTAAGCATACTTAGAGTCTGTATATACATTTACCCTTTTTCCTTCTAATTCTAGTGTATAATGGCCCCTACTTTTGCTAGGATGTCTCTCCCTAACAAAGGAGTGGGGCTTTCAGGCATAATTAGAAAAGCATGTGAAAAGAGTAAAGTTCCCCAGTCACAACTTAGTGGCTGGGAGAAGTATCTAGTGACTACCTGTCCTAGGACCCCTCAGATAGTGACAGATCTGGAGGACAGTTGTCCAGGACAGGAAAGTAAGACTGAGAAGACAGCGCCAGTGTCCAGGAGGCAGTTAACCTCCTGGCCCTCAATGATCAAGTATACCCAGGGCTCTGTGAGGGTGATGGCATGGGCTGGTGCTTGCCCCGGGCACCCTCAGTCCTGCTGCTGGATCATCTGCTTAGTGGCTTCTGACTCAGAGGAATTTCATCCCCTGGGGCAGTGGGCCTTCCAGTGATTTCCTTGACATAAGGGGCATGGACGAGGGGGCAACTTATTTCTATTGGGACAATCTTTTTTAAAGGGTCCTTGTAGACCACACTGGAAGCAAGCCCTATTAGGCATTCGATTCACCCAGCGTTTCCCTTTTCCAGAGCCTCCAAAGTCCGCTTGCCTGAGGGCCATGACTAAAGCGTGGCCTTCTTTTTCTTTTTTTCTTTTTTTAAATCCGTTTGTCCTGTTCCGCCTGCTCCTACTGATCTCTATTACAAAAAACTGAGGTTACCAAGTTCAATAGGGTTTCTAAGTTTTGCTCCAGGCCTAAGGCAGACTTTTGAAGTTTTTTTCTAATGTCTGCGGCTGACTGAGTGATAAACTTATCCTTCAAGATTAGTTGGCATTCAATAGAGTCAGGTGACAGAGAGGTATGCTTTCTCAATTCCTCCCTTAGTCTCTCCAGAAAGGCAGTAGGAGTTTCTTCCTTTGCCTGTGTTATAGTGGACATCATTGAGTAATTCATAGGCTTCTTCCTAGTTTTCCTTAGTCCTTTTAGCACGCACGTTAGCAAATGTCTGCGGCACCAATCTCCATGTTCTGATTCTGCGTCCCAGTGAGGGTTTACACTGGGAACTGCCTGCTGGCCTGTGGGGAATTGTTCTCTTTCCTTTGTTTTCATCCTATCATTGACCTGACTGAGACACCAGAGATCGCCAAAGTCTCGGGCTGCAGTTACGGCAGCACTTCTCTCATTTGGGGTTAGTGTCTGATCTAGCAGTAACATTATATCTCTTCATGTCAGATCAAAGGATTGTCCTAACCCTTGTAAAACATCAATATAGCCATCAGGGCTATCTGAGAATTTACCTAAGTCTATTTTAATTCGCTTCAAGTCTGACAGGGAAAAAGGTACATACACTCTGATGGGGCTGAATTCCCCAGAATACATCTTAGGAGCATTTTTGCCTTGGGGGGAATGTTTCCCATCTGAAAAAAGAACACAGGGATGCCAACACCCCTAGTCATTTTCTGATGAGCATTAGTCCTAGAGCGTCCTCTATGGTCCTAATGCTTATTCCTTTCCATGGTGCATAACCACCCATGGACCTCTGCTTATCGGATTAGTTACACTCACTGATGTAAGAAAGGGGTCCGGGCTGCTGGATTCTAGTGGTCCTTTACCAGCATGCCCAACATTGCCTTTGTGGTCAGGGGTGAGTCCTAGAGCTGGGCTGGGTTCCTGAGTTTTTGTTTTGCTTTGTTTTGAGACGGAGTCTCGCTCTGTCGCCCAGGCTGGAGTGCAGTGGTCCGATCTCGGCTCACTGCAAGCTCCACCTCCCAGGTTCACGCCATTCTCCTGCCTCAGCCTCCCAAGTAGCTGGAATACAGGCGCCCACCACCATGCCCAGCTAATTTTTTATATTTTTAGTAGAGATGGGGTTTCACTGTGTTAGCCAGGATGGTCTCGATCTCCTGACCTCACGATCCGCCCACCTCGGCCTCCCAAAGTGCTGTGGTTACAGGCATGAGCCACCGCGCCTGGCCTGGTTCCTGAGTATTTCATAACAACCAGCTGCCCCATCAAGATGCATTCCCATAAACAACAGTTCTTATGCAAATTCGTTTCAGAGAGGGTGTAGGTAACCTTTTAAGTCAGGATTGAGATAGAGGCTTTTTGATTCTGTAAGTACTTTAAGGCTTGGCTGAGTGCAAACAGCTCCCACGCACGTTTGAGCTGACCAATTATTAGGCAATTTTCCTAACTCTGCTTTTAGAAGAGTTTCCCTATCAATTACTTAATACCCATTGTGTTTTTTCCTCAGTGACCTGGGAGGAGCCATCCATCATCCTGTCCTGAAGGGAGTTCCTCCTAGGTCTGGTCGTTCGGACCTTTGTATGGTAATTAAGATTTAAATCTCCTGTTAGGAAATCTTCTGGGTTAAGGGAATTTTCAGTGGTTAGTGTTAAATCACCTTTTTCTAACAGAATATCTCCATACTTTAAGATGTTTGAGTTAGTAAGCCACCTTTTCGCTTTTTTGACTTAGGATAGTTCTGAACTGGTGAGGTGTGCTCACAATGAGGTTTCCTCTAAAGGTTATTTTTCTACTTTCTTCTGTTAGCAAAGCAGTTGCTGCTACAGAGTGAATGCATTTGGGCCATCCACGGGTTACTGGGTTAAGGATTTTTGATAGGAAGGCTAAGGGTTGTCAGTGGTCTCAGTGTTTTCAGGCTACGCCCTTGTTTACACTGACAACAAGGTAGTATTGGAGTGTTATAGGGTCATGGAGAAGACCTTCAATTATTAATTATAGGTTTTAAATTTATCCTGGCTTTTAAAGGAATAGGACACACTTTTTTTTCTCTACTACTTCTATCTCTCTTTTTCCTCTCTCTCTCTGCCTCTCTTCCCCCGGCTCTGCCTCTCTTTCCCCTCCCTCTTTCTCTGCCTCTCTTTCCCCTCTCTCTTTCTCTGCCTTGACTTACTCAATTAGCTTTCATCCTGATCTATTATGTTGTCGTAAACCCAGTCCCAGTTGTTAAAAGTACTGGGTCATCAGTTCTAAGGCCCTGACAAGGGTGGTGGGGAACGGATCCCACATAACTGCCCATGTCGAGAGCTATATGCCTAAATTGGGATGGACAGCAGGGACAAAACTCCCTGGGTTCATAGCCTAGATGCCTAAGGATACAGTGTAGAGCTTCCTTAGATCCCTTTCGAGATAACAACTTGATAGAGGAAATGAAAGTCTGAACCATTAGTACCTAGGAGGCAGGGATCAGAGGAATTAGATTCAGAGGTAAGGAGAATTTTGGGCTGCACTTTCAAGAAAGTCATGGTCGCGACCCAGGAGGTATGGGTCAAAAGGAAAGGTAGGGGCACACGCATGGGCGACTATTGAGTAGAGACTTCTGGCTGGGCCATGATCTCAACCAACTAATGCTGGGAGTTCGGGATGACAGCTTTCTACCTGTAGTCAACCCTCGGCTTCCCCAGGAAAACTGTGAAAGTGGAAGCTGCTTCCAGGCAGACCAACGCTCCCAACCCAGAAGGGTTGGGGGTTGTTAGAAAGCCCTTTCCCAGGAAGCCTCACAACTGAGTCTTTAGTCCCATAGCCACGCTAATCGTTTTTAACTGGCTGACGGGTGCCCGGTATTTTCCACCAATTCTAAGGAAGGATAGGACAGAATAGCAAGCAAAGTGGTCCGATATTACTCACTGCTTTGGAGAATTCCCATACGGTTACCACCAAATGTTACGGGCAGGTCTTTGTTCTTAGCTCTCCCAAGATGTGGCGGGCCACTCCCAAGATGGCAGCAAGCCTTTTGTTCTCTGACCTGGGGTTCTTGGACTCATGGATTCCAAGGAATGGAACCTTGGGCCATGCAGTGAGTGTTATAGCTCTATTAGAAGCCATGGGTCACGGAAGAGAACCATGGAACCGAGAGACTAGTGTTCAGCTCAATTAGGACAAACCCGGGCACTTAGCTGTGCAGGAACGATAGAGAGCCTTTAGCCCGATCAGGAGTGGCAATGAGCACCTCGCTGGATCAGGAGAGCAGCAGACACCCTGCTGGATCTGGAGGGGTGGAAGTCAGTGGCAAGTCTGCGATGGCAGCAAACAGCAGTGGTGGACGGTGAGTGAAAGCTCAGCTCAAGCTGTAACAAACACAGACCAGAAGAGTATGCAGTTGCAAGATTTAACAGAGTGAAAACAGAGCTCCCATACAATGGGAGGGGTCCCAAAGGGGGTTGCCCAAGACATAGTTTTAAATAAGGTTACAGGGATGAAGTCACCTATCTTGAAAAAACAGGTCTCTTGGGTATACAATGCTAAGTTGACAATTCTTTCCCTTCAGCACTTAAAATATATTGTCATCCTTCACTTCTTAATACTTGAGAAAAAGAACATCCTTCCATGCCTCTTGATGAACCACCAAGGAGATCCACAGCAGTCATGATGGGGCCCCAGCATGAGAAGACCCTGCACTCAAGTTTCCTAGGAAACTAGAAAACTGGCTTAATGTGTTGTTGGGAGCAATGGCACACCCATGGCACATGGGAGAACAAGCATCTGGGCAAGAAGCATGAAACCTTCAGCCTGACTCCAGAATTCTGGCTCTAATAGTGAAGGAAGTTGCCTGAAATAATTATTTTTTTCTTTTTTTGTAGAGATTTTCTCTTTCAATCTTTCTCTGTCCTTAAATTTTACGTGTCTCTAAAAATAGCATATCATTGTATTTTTTTAATCCAGTTTGAACACTGTTTAACTGAAGAGGTTCATTTACCTTTACAGTGATTTCTGATATATTTAAATTACTTCCAACATCTTATATGAGTAGGGTAAACAAAAAGTACCAAATAAGATTTAAATTAATACACTTATTAAATATTTATATACACACACATCTGTGTATGCTTATGTGTATATTTTCTTCCTTTTTTTTTCCTCCTGGGGATTAATTAAGGTTTTTTGCCAATTTATTTTTTCCCTTGGACTGATTTGAAAACAAACATTCTGCAGCCACATGCTTTATAATATTTCAGTCAATGAAAGACTGCATATAAGACAGTGATCCCATAAGATTATAATAGAGGTGAAAAATTCCCATTGCCTAGTAACTTCGTAGCCAATGTCAGAGCACAATTTTTCATATAAACTTAATGTAGCCTAAGTATGCAACATTTATAAAGTCTATAGTAGTGTACAGTGATGTCCTAGGCCTTCACATTCACTCACCACCCACTCACTGACTCATACAGAACAACTTCCACTCCTGCAAGCTCCATTCATGACAAGTGCCTGATATAGTGTGGATGTTTGTCCCCTCCCAATCTCATGGTGAAATGTAATCCCCAGTGTTCAAGGTGGGGACTGGTGGGAGATGTTTGGGTCATGGGGTCAGATCCTTCATGAATGGGTTGGTGCTATTCTCATGATAATGAGTGAGTTCTCACTCTGAGTTCACACAAGATCTGGTGATTTAAAAGAGTGTGGTACCTCCCTGCTTTCTCTCTCTCTCTCTCTCACCATGCAATATGCCAGCTCCCCATTGGCCTTCCACCATGATTTCTGAAGCTCTCACCAGAAACTAAGCAAATGCCAGTGCCATGCTTCCTGGATAGCCCGAAGAACTGTGAGCCAATTAAACCTCTTTTCTTTATAAATTGCCCAGCTCAGGTATTCCTTTAAAGCAATGTAAACAAACTAACACATGCCCTATTAGAGGTGTACCATTTTTTATCTTTTATACTATATTTTTACTGTACCTTTTCTATGTTTAGATATCTTGGCTTTTTTTTTCTTTTTTTTTATATGAAGCCTCGCTCTGTCGCCCAGGCTGGAGTGCAGTGGTGCGATCTGTAACTTCAGCTTCCCGGGTTCAATCATTTCTCCTGCCTCAGCCTCCTAAGTAGCTGGGATAACAGGTGTCCACTACCACACCTGGCTAATTTTTGTATTTTTAGTAGAGACAGGGTTTCACTATGTTAGCCAGGCTGGTCTTGAACTCTTGAACTCAGGCAATCCGCCTCCCTTGGCCTCCCGAAGTATATATCTTGGCTCTTTCTTCTGAAGTTGTTGTCCATCTTCTTGAGGTATATCTTTTAGAAATTCCTTAGTGACAATCTGTTGATGATAAACTCAGCTTTTATTTATCAGAATAATCTATATTTCGGGTTTGTTATTGAAAAAGTTTTGCTGGATATACAATTCTACATTGATGTTATTTTCCTTCAGCACTTTAAAAATATTGTTTCCTTCTTTTCTGGTTTCTATTTTTGCTCTTGATACCTTTACTGACAGTATAATTTGTTCTTATTTGTGTACTACATTTTTAACATTTTTTGTCTTCGATGGTTTGCAATTGTATTACCATATGTCTAATTGCAGGTTTTCTTTAACATTGCCAGAAATTTGTCTTTTCAATGAGCCACCTTTTAACTTTGTTGATACTCACTATTGTTTCTTCATTTTCTGTTTCATTACTTCTCTATTATTTCCTTTCTAAATGTTCAGCTTCTCCTTATAAGGCTAAAAATTTCTCATGAAATACCTCTTTGGTTATATACTTAAATGTTGATATGTAGTATTACCATTCTATTTTTAATATTTTTGAATTTTCATTATGCTTTCTCCTTTTAATTCACTGGGTATTTAGAATTTTATTTAATTTCCGAACACACAGAATTGTTATCTTTTCCTGTTGATCTTTACCTTAATTGCACTCTAGTCAAAATAGGTGATCTCTGAAATTTGTTGAGATGAGTTTTATGGGTCATTCATGGTCAATTTTTGTGTATGTTCCAGGTGTACTGGTAAAAAATACATATATCTTCCAACTTTTGGATGCAAGGTTTTATAATATATTATAGTATTATTAGTTCTAGTAGTAGTATTGAAATCACCCATGTCCTTATTGATTTACAATCTTTCGATCTTCAATAATTGAGAAAAGTCTGATATAGTTTGGAGACTTGTCCCCGCCCAAATCTTTTTTTTTTTTTTTTGAGCCAGAGTCTCACCCTGTCGCTCAGGCTGGAGTGCAGTGCAGTGGCCCAATCTCAGCTTACTGCAACCTCTGCCTCCTTGGTTCAAGCGATTCTTCTGCCTCAGCCTCCTGAGTAGCTGGGACTACAGAGGTGTGTCACAACTCCCAGCTAGTATTTGTACTTTTAGTAGAGACGGGGTTTCACCATGTTGGCCAGGCTGGTCTCGAACACCTGACCTGATGATCCACCCGAATCAGACCCCCAAAGTGCTAGGATTATAGGCGTCAGCCACCGCGCCCGTCCCCCACCCCCCCACCCAAATCTTATGTTGATTTTCATCCCCAGTGTTGGAAGTGGGGCCTGGTGGGAGGTATTTGGATCATGGGGATGGATCCCTCATGAATGGCTTGGGCCATCCCCTTGGTGATCAATGAGCTCTCATGCTGAGTTCACTCGGGACCTGGTCCTTTGAAAGTGTGTGGCACCTTCCTCCTGCTCTCCCTCTCTTGCCTCTGCATTTGCCATGTGAGATGCCTGCCCGGCTTCAACTTCTACCATGACTGTGAATTTCCTGAGGCTCCACAGAAGCTGAGCAGATGCCACTATGCTTCCTGTAAAGCAGGGGTGTCCAATCTTTGGGCTTTCATAGGCCACATTGGAAGAAGAATTGTCTTGGGCCACGCATGCAATACACTAACACTGACGATAGCTGATGAGCTTTAAAAAAAATTGCAAAAAAGTCTCATAATGTTTTAAGGAAGTTTATGAATTTGTGTTGGGCCACATTCAAAGCTGTCCTGGGCCACATGAGGCCTATACGCCACAGGTTGGACAAGCTTGCTGTACGGCCTGCAGAACTGTGAGCCAATTAAACCTCTTTTCTATATAAATTACCCAGTCTCCGGTGTTTATTTACAGCAATGCAAGAATGATCTAATATAGTGCGTTTAAAATATTTACGAGAGTGGATTTGTCTATTTTTCCTAATAGTTCTGTCCATTTTCCTTGGTATACCACAAAGCTCTGTTATTAAGTGCACGCAAGTATTCTCTCTTCCTGCTAAATATGTTTTATTATTATGAAGTGGCCCTCTGTACTACGGCTAGTAGTGTTCTGTCCTAACATTGGGATTTTCTGTGTTAAGCTACAGCACGGTGCTCGTGTTAGTCCTAAAATCCAGCCTGTAGACACAGTGAAGGGCACACCTATAAGAAGACTTCCGTTTGTGTGACGGAGGATTACACAATAGTTGTCAGACGGTGGTCCCTGAACCAATTCTATTTCAGGATTCTCGGGATTCAGGATTCTCAGCTCAATCAGAACAAATACGTAGCAGTTTTCCTCTTCTTATTGGTAATTTTAATGACTCTTACTTTGTGGAACTCTCCCCCTGGGTGCCCTAGGAGCAGCCCGGGAGGAAAACCGAAAGCTAATCTGTTGTAGATGCAGGCCCTTCAGGTAATTTGAGCCCAGCTGAGGGGTTGTCGTTTCACCCAGCCGTGCAAATGGTGCAAATGTGTCCTGTTGAGTCGCCCTGGCTTCCGTCACTGTCCAGGTGGAAGCCCCTCCCCGGAGCAGCGCGGGCCGCAGGCCACCCCCTCGTGCCCTCGCCTTCGCCTCACCGGCGCCACCTGTTCTTCCTCCCTTTCCTGCGGGTCCCAGCCGCTGGTGCCCTCTGGTGGCGGCCCTGCTGGCCTTGTCGTGTGACATGCGGGGGGCGTCGTGAGTCTACTGGCTTTTGCGTCGCGTCCTCGGGAGGGGTAGGACCCCCTCAGGCAGTGAGGCCACCTCCGCCCCCTCCCTCCCTGCGAACGGGTGGAGCTGCTGCTTCGCTCTGCAGAGCCACGCCCCTTGTCCGTGGCTGAGACCCTGACCCAGGTGCAGGAGTTCTCCACAGAAACCAGAGGCGATCTCACTCCCGCCCTGCCCTCCGACGTCCCTCTGCCTCCCGCCAAGTCCCTGCCCATCACCCTGCGAGTACCGGGCAGCTTGGCGAAGAGCCAGCAGGACCGCAGGCCAGGCTCTGCCCGGCCCGAGGGATCCTACTGGGACTTCGTGGGAGGGACGGGTGGAAATTCCCAGATTCACAGGAAAGGCACAGGGAAGGCAGAGTTGCCACTTCATTAACTCTGTTCTGCAAAAGAAAACTCACCTGCTCTCTCTCCGGTTAGCTTGCTTCCTCTCTTCTCCCCTCCCCGCCCTCTAATCTCTCTCTCACACGCACACACACACACACACACCGGAAAAGAGGGAAAACCAGTTTTCCTCTTTTTCTCAACTGTCTCACCTGCACAAGGCCACTGTATTAGTTTGCTAGGGCCACCGGAACAGTCAACACACTGAGGGGCTTAAACAACAAAAATTGATTCTCTCACAGTTCTAGAGACTGAAAATCCAAGATCAAAGTGTTGGCAGGGTTGGTTTCTCCCAAGACCTCCCTTCCGTGGCTTGTAGATGGCCACTTTCTTGCTATGTCCTCATGGTCTTTTCTCTGTGCCCCAGGACCCCTGGTTTCTCCATTAGACATCACATATTGGATTAAGGCCCACCCTAGTGGCCTCATTTTACCTCAGTCACCTCTGTAAAGACCTTATCTCCAAATATGGTGACATTCTGAGATACAGGGGTTGGGTCTTCAACATATAAACCTGGGTGGGTGGTAAGGGGAACACAGTTCAGCCCATGAGAGTCACCCTGTTGCCTAACCACTGGTGATGGGGAAGGAGTGGTGTAGGATCAGAAGAGGAAGTTTAATGTCTGAGGTTGTTGCCGGAATAAACACATCACATTCCCCTGTTACCCATATTTAAGCCCTCTCCTTCACAAATACTGGTGTGACACTCCCGCTTAACTGCCTCACCTGGATGACAATAAACTTGTTCCCAATTGTTGAGCACTTGAAAAACAAAATGTGGGGGTCATGGGGAAATGAACCTTTCCCGTACAGTAGAAATTGCTTCCTTGTGTGCAAAGAGATTGAACCAGAAGTATAGACAGGAGGTTAAAAAGTCCCTGGAATCACCCTCAGCAGAAGCAAAGAAAAAAAAAAATGAAAGCCAAAGCCAATGCTGCTGGAGCTGCCTGAAACCCCAAGACCACACCTTGAATATGCTGTTGAGAGGTGACAGCGTACTGGCAGTCCTCACAGCCCTCACTCGCTCTCGGCACCTCCTCTGCCTGGGCTCCCACTTTGGCGGCACTTGAGTAAGCCCTTCAGCCCACCACTGCACCCTGGGAGTCCCTTTCTGGGCTGGCAAAGGCCGGAGCCGGCTCCTTCAGCTTGCAGGGAGGTGTGGAGGGAGAGGAGCGAGCGGGAACCGGGGCTGCGCGCGGCGCTTGCGGGCCAGCTAGAGTTCCGCGTGGGCGTGGGCTTGGCGGGCCCCGCACTGGGAGCAGCCGGCCAGCCCTGCCAGCCCCAGGAAATGAGGAGCTTAGCACCCAGGCCAGCGGCTGCAGAGGATGTACTGGGTCCCCCAGCAGTGCCAGCCCACCGGCGCTGCTCTTGATTTCTCACTGGGCCTTAGCTGCCTTCCGGCAGGGCAGGGCTCGGGACTTGCAGCCCGCCATGCCTGAGCCTCCCACCCTCTCCGTGGGCTCCTGTGCCGCCCAAGCCTCCCCGACGAGCGCCGCCCCCTGCTCCACAGCGCCCAGTCCCATCAACCACCCAAGGGCTGAGAGGCGCGGGACTAGCAGGCAGCTCCACCTGCAGCCCCGGTACAAGATTCACTGAGTGAAGCCAGCTAGGCTCCTGAGTCTGGTGGGGTCGTGGAGAACCTTTATGTATAGCTCAGGGATTGTAAATACACCAATCAGCACCCTGTATCTAGCTCAGGGTTTGTGAATGCACCAATGGACACTCTCTATCTAGCTACTCTGGTGGGACCTTGGAGAACCTTTATGTCTAGCTCAGGGATTGTAAATACACCAATCAGCACTCTGTATCTAGCTCAAGGTTTGTAAACACACCAATCAGCACCCTGTGTCTAGCTCAGGGTTTGTGAATGCACCAATCGACAGTCTGTATCTAGCTGCTTTAGTGGGGCCTTGGAGAACCTTTATGTCTAGCTCAGGGATTGTAAATACACCAATCGGCACTCTGTAGCTCAAAGTTTGTAAACACACCAATCACCACCCTGTGTCTAGCTCAGGGTTTGTGAATGCACCAATTGACACTGTATCTAGTTACTCTGCTGGGGCCTTGGAGAACCTTTGTGTGGACACTCTGTATCTAGTTAATCTAGTGGGGAGTGGAGAACCTTTGTGTCTAGCTCAGGGATTGTAAACGCACCAATCAGTGCCCTGTCAAAACAGACCACTTGGCTCTACCAATCAGCAGTATGTGGATGGGGCCAGATAAGAGAATAAAAGCAAGTTGCCCGAGCCAGCAGTGGCAACCCGCTCTGGTCCCCTTCTGCACTGTGGAAGCTTTGTTCTTTCACTCTGCAATAAATCTTGTTACTACTCACTCTTTAGGTTCACGCTGCTTTTATAAGCTGTAACACTCACCTGGAAGGTCTACAACTTCACTCCTGAAGCCAGCAAGACTGCAAGCCCACCTGGAGGAATGAACAATTCCAGACGCACCGATTTAAGGGCTGTAGCACTCAGCGCGAAGGTCTGCAGCTTCGCTCCTGAGCCAGTGAGACCACAAACCCACCAGAAGGAAGAAATTCCAAACACATCCGAACATCAGAAAGAACAAACTCCTACACGCGCCACCTGAAGAACTGTAACACTCACCGCGAGGGTCTGCGGCTTCATTCTAGAAGTCAGTGAGACCAAGAACCCACCAATTCTGGACACACTGTCACACTGGACATTTTTTTTTTGCTACCGTAAGGCTCTGAGAAGCATTAATGAGAATTACAGATGCATTTGTTCCAAGGAAACTTTTCACTGAAGTATAACTCATAGCAAGCTTAACTGCTCACCCCCCCACTCCCCAGACACCCTCCAGAGTATCTAGATCTTCACTACTTTTGACTTCTTGCAAAACTACTGGAGCAAAACCAAGATAGACAGCTTTTATTCATGTATCTCACAGCACCATAACTGAAGATGTTTTGGTTCCCATTTATCCTGAGTGAACCTATTTAAAACACAGTAAATGACTGCAGTGAGCCTATTTTGTGTGATCCCAATGAACTTCCGCACAGCAATGCATTTTCTAGCTCAGTGTATCTTGTGTCTTGTTCTGTAACCACTGCCAAGAGCTACTGGCTTTCTTTACCCAGAGGCTCTCCGGGACAACTGATTCCAAGCAATTGGAATCCTCACATCCGGTACCAGTTGAAGGAAAAAGTGTTTCACATCCATTAGAATGGCTAGTCAGAAAACCAGAAAATAATAAGTATCAGGAAACATGGAGAAATTTGGACTCTTATGCACAGTGCGTGGGAATGCAAACCGGAGTAGCTGCTATGGAAAACAGAAGGACAGTTTCTCAATATATTAAGAGTAGAATTATCATAAGATCTAGCAATTCCACGACTGGGTATACATCCAAAAGAACTGAAGGCTGGGTCTCAAAGAGATTATTTGTATACCCATTTTCATAGCTATATTATTCACAACGACTAAAAGGTAGAAGCCAACCCAAGTGCCCATCAATAAATGAATGGATAAACAAAATTTGGTGCGTGTGTGTGTGTGTGTATATATATGTATATGTATATATATATATATGGAATGTTATTCAGCTTTAAGAAGGAAGGAAATTCTGATACATACCACAATACAAATGAACCTCAAGGGCATTATGCTAGATGAAATAAGCCAGTCACAAAAAGACAAATACTGTATGATTCCACTTATACGAGGTACCTACAGTAGCCAAAGTCATAAAGACAAAGTAGAATGGTTGTTGCCTGGGCTGGGGTATGGGGATGGGGAGCTCTTATTTAATGGGTACAGAGTTTCAGTTTGTCAAGATGAAAATAGCTCTGTGGATGGATGGTGGTGATGTTTGCACAACCAACAGTATAAATGTGCTTAACAGCTCTGTACTTAAAAATGGCTAATGTGGTAAATTTATTGGGGAAAAACAATAAACGAAGACATATATTTTTAAAATAATTTTCTTACAGAAGAGAGAAGGAATGAAGGAAAAGATGAGAATCAAGGAGGGGATGGGGCCAGGAGAGGTGGCAGTATCTATTAGGAATGTTATCTGGTAATTTTTAAAAGTTGAAAGTCACATGGATTTTTTTTTTAGCCTGCAATGAATTATCATTATCAAAATGATTCTGTCAAAATATTGATCAACCTTTTCGTAATTATGGAAAGAATGATATGTCACCCAAATATGCATCTCCAAGTATCTTTGTCTTTTCAATACAAATATTTGCATAAAGCAGTTTCACAGGATTAATGAGTCTAGAGATCTAATGTACATGAGGACTATAGTTAATATTGTATTATAGATGGGTAATTTGCCAAAAGAGTAGATTTGAGGTACTCTTAGGCGCCGCACACACACACACACACACACAGAAGTGTGCATGTGCGTGAAAGGTAACTCTATGAGATAGATGATGGATATATTAATTTGCTTGGCTGTAGTAATTATTTCACTAGGTATATGTATATCAAGGTAGGTATATAAACCATCATGTTGTACACCTTAAATATATACAATTAAAACTTAGCATAAATATTACCTTATCCAAAATCATTTACATTTTAGTTCTTTTAGATCCAGCTAGATGGAATGTGCTTACGCTGCTGATCAGAACAGGCATTTTGACATGGGGGGTGAAGGTATGACATTTTGACCTGCCATTTGTCAATCCTATCAAATCACTGCATCAAAATAAAGAAAACACCATTTTTTATTGCCTAGTAGTATTTCAAACAAACATCTCTGACATTGCATGCACCTCGCCCTCAGCCTTACGCTGTCTCTGTGCCTTTCCCCTGCCGTCACCCCCACATCACAATAACAATATACCATTGTAAAAACAGTTTCATTTTTAAAATTAAACACTTTTCACGAGAGACGTATGGATATCCCTGACCTTCACCCCAGTGCCCCCCCCGTCCCATTCCTCACACTCACTCCCACCACAGTGAGGGCAAGAGGCCCAAGGAAAAGTTGGGTGTCCCAAACAGGGTGAGACAGCAAGTGGCCACATTAAGGGGAAATTGTAGCAGCCTGTTTTAGTGCCCTGTGTCCCATCCTCTTGACTCACCTCCGATTTCGGTCACAGCTGCAGTAAACAGTTCCTGCTAGTTCAGATTCGCCTATGGAGCCCACCCGACACCCTTACCTCAGTCTCCACATCTTGCCTCAAATCATTCGCTGAACTCCCAGGAGCCCACCAGGCCCTTACAAAACACAGCCTGGAAGTACAAGGCAATTAACACCCTAGGGCAACCCCAACCAATGGATGGACAGAACTGGTGGTGGATGATGAATGCCCCAGGGTTTCATCCAACAGAGAGACGATTCTGAGAGGCTACCTACCCAGAGACCCACACTACTCGGAGATCCAGGTGGAATTGTACTCCTATCACCTGGATAACTCACCTGTATATCAGTTTTCCCTCTTTCCTAATCTACCTCTCTCCAGTCCCTTATTTTCTGGGTTCACCCCTCCTCCAAGCCTTTGATTCAGGCTCAACTTTCAGAAGAACCCAAACTATCTTGGTAACTTTTTTCAAAACATACATATTTTGTGTCAGTTGTTTGATTAACGGTGTTAGCTTTGAAGGCTAAATCAAAACTAATCTACATCAAAATGACCAGGCTAGGCTGGGCGTGGTGGCTTATGCCTGTAATCCCAGCACTTTGGGAGGCTGAGGTGGGCCAATCACTTGAGGCCAGGAGTTTGAGACCAGCCTGGCCAACACGGCAAAACCCCATCTCTACTAAAAATACAAAAAAGTAGCCAGGCGTGGTGGTGTGCACCTGTAGTCCCAGCTACTCAGGAGGCTGAGGCAGGAGAATCGCTTGAACCTTGGAGGTGGAGATTGCAGTGAGCCAAGATGGTGCCATTGCACACCAGCCTGGGCAACTGAGCGAGACTGCATCTAAAAAAAAAAAAAAAAAAGTCAGGCTGAAAGGCCAAAAAATTATGGACTCATATGGAAAGGTCTTATTTGTAAGATGTTAGGGGTTTGAGGTGTGTGTGTGTGTGTGTGTGTGTGTGTTGTGTGTATTAAGCTGGAAAACACTAGTCATTTTCTGTAGTGCAGTATCACTATGACCTTAAGAAAAATCCAATACGATTTTTATTTTGCTCAATGATTCTGCATCGGCCTAGGGACATATAAAGTAAATCCTACAGTAAGATTATCTGTGTGTGTGTGTGTGTGTGTTGTGTAAAAGAGAGAGAGAGAAAGCATGTATAGACACTACTAGTGTAGGGTTAGTATTAGGGCAGGGTTTTTTTAAAAGACAACTGTAAGTTTTAATAGAAGTCATAAAAAGAAGCAAATAATATATTGAAAGAGAACTTAAGCATTATCTGATTCCATTTTATAGGTGAGGAAGCTGAAGCCCACAGAGGATAAGAAGCATCTCAAGGCATCACA
Organism: Homo sapiens; assembly: GCF_000001405.40. NCBI lineage: Eukaryota > Metazoa > Chordata > Mammalia > Primates > Hominidae > Homo > Homo sapiens. Next base: position 13,867,066 of record NC_000006.12, on the reverse strand, counting down.
GAGGAATAATAGTAAAATGGGGGCCAAGAAACCATTGATTTTGACTCCAAGTCCAGTGATCTTCCCATTATACCATACAACAAATTATTTCAAATGTAATAAAAAGGCTATTATTTAAATGACTGGTGATATTGATGATGATAATAATAATAGTAGCATGTGTTGAATGCTTACTGTGTGCTCTTAAGTGCTTTACCTACACAATTTCATTTAGCTCCCACAACTGTGCCGTAGGTAGTTACCACTCCCATTTTGCAGATGGGAAACTGAGGCTCAGAAGGATTGTGTAACTTCCCCTGTCATAGGACTGGTAAGCAACAGAACCAGGTCTCAAACTCAACCAATCTGGCTCTAGAATTTGGTTTTAATGCCCACATTCAAGTGAAAATTCATCACGTAATTCTTGCATTTTATACATGTATATTCTTACCTATATACCAAAGCCAGCATCTTTAAGGCAACAGAAAAAAGTTTTAAAGTATAATTAACTTCTCCAATTTCACAGGGAACTATAGCATTGATGTTGCCATTCTGGAAAAAGGCCAGAGCTGAACCGCCATGGCAGATGGCACTTGTCACGGCCAGCTCTGAGATGGTAATGCTGGCCAGCCACACCTTCCATCTGGGAAAGGGGCTGTGCTCTTTCTATTTCTTCCTCTTCTCACAAACTCCAAAGATTCCTGAAGTTTATTAGAAGAGATGCCTCCTTTAATACCTACTTAATATCTGATGCCTACAGTGGCTACTTCATGGGGATCTCCTTTGATGAACAACTGCCAAAAATGGCATGTTATCAAGACAAAAACACAGTCAAACTTAAAAAGAAATGTGTTCTCCAGGTTTACCAGTATCAGATAGTTATAGTTGTATGACTACTTTGTAACCACATGGATTAGATTCTCAAAGAACAGTAATTATTATGGATTCCATATAGTTATTTAAACCATACATCTGAAATAGAAAATACACAAGTATCTCTGAAGTCTATTATAAACATATGTTAAGGGGGAAGAAAGCACAAAGTATAATATTTTTAACCATATTACAAGCCACTGAAAGAACACAACTATACTACTCAAAATAGAAATGTAGCAATCAGAAAAAAAAGCTTTGAACATATATATAAAAAGGAAAAGTTAATTGTCTCCAAATAAACGATTTCTCAACTCAATATACAAAAAAATCACTATACTAATCAAAGAAATTTCCTTAGGTTGAAAAGTACCATATTGTAGCAATTAAGGACACAAAATAGCAAATAAGGCTTCATTTTAGTTTTAAAAGGGAATTTCCTGGTGAATAAAATTCTTCATCTCCTTATACAACATGGTAGCAAAGAATTAACACCTTTGCTTTAACAAAAAAAGAAACTGTTGAGTGAGCTACATAGTTACTCTAAACCATTTGAGTATATTTATCATAACATTGAGTGATACATGTGCAAAAATATAACCAAAATAGAACTTTTTGGTTACAACAGAATCAGTTAATTAAGAAGCAAAATTTGCAATAATCAAACCACTGCTGATTCCTATAAACCTATTATATCTTAGGATTCACATAATCCAGTTCTAGGATTCAAAGAAAAAAAGAACACCACAAAAGTCACTAAAAATACTTCCAGATGTTATTTTTATAGTTCCAAGACCAATGAGGAGGCTCCATTGCCTCTTCTTTCTACTTCTTTCAAATTCCTCCGTGGCCGCTGTGCCTCTGAGCCTCTTCTCACTCTCACTTCCCTCCTGAAACTCTCCCAGATACTTTCCTTCCAAGGGGCCTCTCTTTCTTCCTTCTCTCCTTCTCTAGAACTTCCTTCCTCTTGGTCAAACCCTAATCTCCACTAAACTCCTTGGTAAAGAGTATCCTTCTTACATGAGAATTTCCTGGTGAAAAAAATTATTCACCTCCTTTACACCTGTATACACCTCTGTTGTATACAACAGAGTAATAAAAGAATTAACATTCTTTGCTTTAAAAAATGCCGTTGACTAATTTGATTATTTTGTTCAAAAATGTTTGTGTTGCAGCCATGAAAAAGAATGAATTCATGTCCTTTGCAGAGACATGGATCAATCTGGAAGTCATCATTCTCAGCAAACTAACAGAGGAAGAGAAAACCAAACACTGCATGTTCTCACTCATAAGTGGGAGTTGAACATTGAGAACACATGGACACAGGGAGGGAAAGATCAAACACCGGGGCCTGTCAGGGGGTGGAGGGCAAGGGGAGGGAGAGTCTTAGGACAAATACCTAATGCATGCAGGGCTTAAAACCTAGATGATGGGTTGATGGGTGCATGAAACCACCATGGCACATGTAAACCTATGCAACAAACCTGCACGTTCTGCACATGTATCCCAGAACTTAAAGTAAAATAAAAAATTAAAATTAAAACAATTTGTGTTTTATCATAACATTGAGTGATAAATGTGAAAAAACATGAGAAATATATATAAAGAGTGTTCCCCAACAATAGAGTAGTGGTAATAATAGGAAAAGAAAAACCTTAAAAAAAAGTAGATATAATTAAATATTGGATTTGCCCAGTGGTATTTTGGTTGTTTAGCTCTGCATTTATAATAAAAGCAGCACCCTTACATTGAAATGCCTATAGGAAAAATAACTTTTTATTATAACAGTTACTATTCTATAACTTCTACCTCCTAACCCTCCTTTTCTCATAAAACAATTACAATTATGTAAGAATTGAGGCTCCTTTATTTCTCATCTTACTGCCATGTGAAATAGAGACAATGAGGACATCAATCTGTGACCATGTGGGAGTATTAGGTATAAATGGTCATTCGGTCTGGAGTTATTTAAGATGAACATATTCTATACATTGGGAAGCTTATATTATATTTTTAGAAATTGATATTGTAGAATGTGTTAAGTATGTCTTTTATTTTCTATTCTGGTGCTTTGACCTCTTGGAGCTTTGCTGACCCTGAAGGAGCTGGCCCATTCCGGGGTTAACTAATTCCTAGAGATAGTAAATGACTCACCTTTGAGCATACTTGTCAAATGTCAACAAACAAATCCAGGGCCCACACACCAGCCACCTCCTTTATCTTGCTTTTGCATTCCAGGCCACTATCCACCTGTCCTAATAACCCAAGAATCAGGTACCAGACAACCAGGGAGAGCCCCCTAGGCCCCAGAACCGACTAAAATTATTCACACTAGCCAATCCTAAGCCTGCTTACCCTGTCTCACCTGTTTCTTTCTTGAGAAACCATAATAAAGGCCTTTGTACACAGTCCCTCTCCCTCCCTCTGACTATTAACTGACCCTGGTGCTTCTCATGTGACCTCCCATGGTGTGTCATGCCCCTGCCTCTTGGGAACTGTAACAAGTTATCTTATCAATGGCAGCCATCTCCTGATCTGTTGACTTTACTGTACCTCAAATTTTCTATGAATATACTATACTTCAAAACACAGTTTTATTGTATAATGCAGAAATTGTCCATTTTTACATTAATCTATTACATGTCAATTTTTACATATAGCCTAATCTATTATTTTTTGGATGGGATTTTTTTTCTTTGAATTCTAGAATTGTATTATGTGAATCCTAAAATATAATAGGTTTATAATAATCAGCAGTGGTATGATTATTGCAAATTTTGTTTCTTAACTGATCATGTTGTAACCAAAAAGTCATATTTTCATTATATTTTTTCACATTTATCCCTCAATGTTATGATAAATATACTCAAATACTTTAACTGTCTTGCTTACTCAACAGTTTCCTTTTTTAAAGCAAAGATGTTCATTCTTTACTACCATGTTGTATAGGAGATGAGCAATTTTTCAGGAGGTTCTCACTTAAAAGTAGAATGTAGGCTGGGCCCAGCGGCTCATGCCTGTAATCCAGCACTTTGGGAGGCCGAGGCAGGCAATTTGAGATCACCTGAGGTCAGGAGTTTGAGACCAGCCTAGCCAACATGGTAAAACCTCGTCTCTACTAAAAATACAAAATTAGCCAGGTGTGGCAGCAGGTGCTTGTAATCCCAGCTACTCAGGAGGCTGAGGCACAAGAATCACTTGAACCTGGGAAGTGGAGGTTACAGTGAGCCAAGATCACGTCATTGCATGCCAGCCTGGGCTACAGAGTGAGACTCTGTCTAAAAAACAAAACAAAACTAGAAGGTAGCCTCATTTGTTTCATTACTTTCATTGAAAAATAAATCTCTAGATTATGTGTCTCTAGAAAGGCTCTTTCTGAATTATGGAAACAAGAAAAACTTAAGCTGAATTACAATAATCTGTATTTGGCTACCCTGTTAGGTCCCATCACACTACTGTGGTAATGCCACCATCTGTACTGCCCATCCATAATGTTTTTCATTCTTCCTGTGTCAGAGTTAGTGCACTTCCTCTAAGATTGGAAATCGGGGGACCTAGAGCTATAGAGTTTTTACAACTTGTCCCTAAAAAGCCACAACCACCATCAGCCCTCTACCCCACAGTGTAGCCAAGGGTAAAATTGAACTGATACAGCTAACGCATTGCCTTGGATACAGGAGCTATGAGGGGTATACCCAGCTGGGTCGACTGACCACTGACCAGACGCAAATTTGGAAGACATTCAATTTTGTGAAGAAACAGCCATAGCAAACACTTCCCTCTCGGTGTACCTATGCGCATATGGACAAAGTTCTCATAGGAAAGAGGAAATAGAGCAAGGTAAACAGTGGGGAAAGGAATCAAGGAGACAAATGAGCATTTTTAGAGATGGCAGGAAAGGAAGTATATCTCAGGGAGACCCTGAACAATGAACAAAAATCAGTTTTACCACCGTGGAACTTGTTTCTGAACTTTAATTCAATATTAATTTCATTGGTGACTATGATGAAGAATTACATAAATATTATAAGCAGGATATTACTTTTAGAACGAAAAAAATAAAAGCAAGTGATGTTCTCAAATACATGGTAACATTGCGGAAAAAGACATATCAGTGGAACAGAACAGAGAATCTGGGAATGACCCCAAGTTTATATGGGACTTTGACATATAACGCTGGTATTTCAAATCAGCGGCATATGAAACAAATGGTGTTGAGACAACTGGCCAGCTGTGTGGGGAAAAAATTGAATTTCTACCTTACTCTTTCTTAAAAATCCAAACGAATCAAAGAAGTAAACATTAAAAATGAAACTATGAAAAAGAAAACTTAAGTAAAAACTTTAGTGAATTAGCTTAAAGAAGAGGCCTTTTCCTTTTGAGACAGAGTCTTGCTCTGTCACCCGGGGTGGGCTGCAGTGATGCAATCACAGCTCACTGCAGTCTCAATCTTCTGGGCTCAAGCAATCATCTCACCTCAGCCTCCCAAATAGCTGGGACTACGTGCCCATGCCATGCAACCACACCTGGCTAGGTGTTGTTTTGTTCGCATCTCACTATTTGTGTGGTCGGTTTCCAGCTCTTGGACTCAAGTGACCCTCCCCCCTTAGCCTCGCAAAGTGCTGGGATTACACTCATGAGCCACTGTGCCCCACTCAAGAGACATGTTTGAGGTGAGACCCAGTATCCACGAGAGAAGACCGATAAACTGTGTCCAGAATTCGTGCGTTCTTAGTCTAGACTTTAAAGCTGCAAACTCTAGTGATACTAGTTCTTAAAAACAGTATGTTCCGAGTTTCCTCCTGCTCACGTTTGGATGTAATCACTTTCTTCCTTTTGCTGGGTTCACGATCATCACCAACTCAGAAATGAAACCACAACCCTTACTCAGGGAGTATAACAGCTCTTGATGCCCCACATCTGGAGTTACTGATTTTCCCCGGTGCGTTAATACGCTCATCAACTTCGGGAATGAAACCGCACATTTTTAATCAACGACTGTTGCAACTCACAAAACTCAAAAAACTGAATTATAAACTTTAATTATAGAGTAAAACAACAACCCCTGTAAAACAACAAACCCTCCACATCCCCAGGAAACAACCTGACTGGCTTACCACTGCTGACTCAGGCACCCTGCTTTTATTCTCTTATATGGCCCCACCCACATCCTGCTGATTGGTCCATTTTACAGAGAGCCCATTGGCCAGTTTTACAGAGAGCTGATTGGTCTGTTTTGACAGGGTGCCGATTGGTGTGTTTACAATCCCTGAGCTACACACAAAAGTTAGATACAGAGTGTGGATTGGTGTATTTACAAATCCTGAGCTAGACACAGAGGGCTGATTGGTGCATTTACAAACCTTGAGCTAGATACAGAATGCCAATTGGTGCATTCACAATCCCTTAGCTAGACATAAAGATTCTCCAAGTCCCCACCAGATTAGCTAGATACAGAGTGCCGATTGGTGCATCCACAAACCCTGAGCTAGACAGAGGGTGCTGATTGGTGTGTTCACAAACCTGGAGCTAGACACAGAGTGCTGATTGGTGCACTCACAATCCCTTAGCTAGACACAAAGGTTCTCCAAGTCCCCACTAGACTCATGAACCCAGCTTGTCTAACCCAGTGGATCTCCCACTGGGGCCGCAGGTAGAGCTGCCTGATAGTCCCGCGGCTTGCGGGCCCGCGATCTCAGCCCTTCGGGGTCGATGGGACCGGGCGCGGTGGAGTAGGGGGCGCCGTTCGTTCATGGAGGTTCAGGCCGTGCAGGAGCCAACAGCGAAGGCGGGGTGGGACTCAAGGCATGGCGGGCTGCAGGTCCGGAGCCCTGCCCTGCGGGGAGGCAACTAAAGCCCGGCGAGAAATCGAACGCAGCACCGGTGGGGCAGCGCTGCTGGGGGACCCCGGCGCACCCTTCGTAGCTGCTGGCCTGGGTGCTAAGCCCCTCACTGCCCGGGGTGGCAGGGCCGGCCAGCCAGCCACTCCGAGTGCGGGGCCCGCCGAGCCCACGCCCACTCCGAACTCTATCTGGCCCGCAAGCGCCTCCCGCAGCCCCGGCTCCCGCCCCTGCCTTTCCCTCCACACCTCCCCGCAAGCCGAGGGAGCCGGCTCCGGCCTCGGCCAGCCCGGAGAAGGGCACTCACGGTGCAGCGGCGGGCTGAAGGGCTCCTCAAGGCAAGCGCCTCCCGCAGCCCCGGTTTCCGCCCGTGCTTTTCTCTCCACACCTCCCCGCAAGCCGAGGGAGCCGGCTCCGGCCTCGGCCAGCCCAGAGAAGGGCACCCACGGTGCAGCGGCGGGCTGAAGGGCTCCTCAAGCGCAGTCAGAATGGGCGCTGAGGCCGAGGAGGCACCGAGAGCTAACGAGGGCTGCGAGAGATGCCAGCATGCTGTCACCTCTCAATTTGACTACATAAAATGTAAATTTCATCCATCAAAACCAACACAAATAATAAAGTATAAAAACATTTGCAAGACACAGGAAAAAGGGCTAATCTATTTAATATAGGGAGTTTTTGCAGCTCTATAAGAGAAGGCATGTAAACAAAATATGATGCAACCAAAATTCTGAAAATGAAAATTTCAAAAAATCTGAAAATTAGCTATGCTTCACCATCAGTTACAAATATGTCTATATATCTTAGTACTGACAAAACAATAATTTCGTGTTTTATTTTAAGCAACATAGATTCCTAATCCAAAAAACATCAGGAGGTAAAGAATCTTCAAATTGGAAATGTTATTTAGTGGCCAAAACACCCATAGAAAATGAATTGCACTGCTGAATCATTTAAGATTGAGATATAGTGAAAATAATCTCACAGTATTCACAAGTACAAAACAACATAGTATAAAATAACGCTTATAGAGTTAATGAAGTATTTCCAAAATATTAGTTATTTCAGAAATATCTCGCCTCTAAGTTGACCCAACTTAATATGCTGACAATGACTTGAAGCATTCACTTAAAATATATTTTAAAATATTCATTTTATAGCTTCTTCAGAAGAAAGAAATATCTTACCTCTCTAGCTTCCATCTCATTTTTCCGTGCCCTTACAGCAAAACTCTTTAACCTGAAGATTAATCTGTCCATGATATAATGTTGTGAACAAATCAAACTATAAAGCGATAAGATTAGCATCTTTCCATTTTTTTACGTTTTAATAACTACAGGATATAAATATATGGTTTTTTAGCACAGAGAACATACTTCACAAGAGCAAAATTAAAGTAGGATATCTTGAACTTGAATTATAAACCCCCTATCGCTTAACAGGCACTTGTTGTTTTTGTAACTTTACACACTCCAATAAGGCTTTTCGAAAGTTTTAATGTGTAAAAGTATTTATTGAACACAAAGCTTTCAATAGAATATGATGTAAGCATTGAGCAGCTTTTGGATTTATAACATAGCTAAGTCCTAAAATGCAAAATTAAATTATTGAATGGTTTGGCCAACTTTAATAAAATAACTAGAGAAATTAAGGAACTTCCATATTTTGCTTTCATTGTTTAACTCAAAATATTTTTCAAAATAATTAACTGAGTTTAGAATGCAAATACATCCCATTGATCCAATTTTTTGAAAAAGGAAATAAACAAAATATAAAGAAACCATTTCTTGATTTTGCTGTTAGAGAGTATGATTCAACTTTGGGAATTACATTCATTTGGGGGACACGTTAATTGTAATGATTAGAAGATTTCAAAATGTTACAGGCAGGGCTATGGTAGAATAATACAATAAATTGAGTATATTCATGCATAAAAGCAGGCCTAAGAGAAAGACAACATACACCACCTGATTCAGAATCTCAAATTTCTTAAGTAAAAAGGCAGTAAGCAAGCACCAGACATACCCATTTATTTTGGCATTGTTCAAAATACACGTTTTTTACCTACTGTGTGAATTCTTGAGATTGCCACAAATTCCATCCCAAGAAATTCAGACACTATATCAAAGAATTTAAATTCTGAACAAGTTAATATTCCCTTTATAGCTTCAATTTCTATGAAACTGAATTTTCCAGACTAATAGAGGCACTGTGCAAAAAAATCTTCTTTGAATTAGTGAAAGATAATAAAAGTTCTTAGGCTGTTTGGATTAACAATAACACTCAAAACTTTGATTTAAAAAACTTTTCACAGTATGAATGCAAAAATCTTATTGAATGTTAATGCAACAGCAATGATTTTACCAAGAAAAATTAGAACAGATGTTTGATAAGGTTTATACTTCCTGGAAACATCATATGGTCAAGTTTTTAAAATAGAAATGAATTTTAACATAACCATTAAGGAAGCAACATCTACTATGCAGAAATGAAACCTAAAATGTCAATTTTTAAATAAACAGGGAACAATCGCAAGCCTCCTTTTTGATGAACTGGCAATACAGAAATGTATATTAAAGTTAATATTATCCACAATTCCCTAAACAAAACACAAGATACAGCTGCTGACTTATACAAATGTATTTCTTACGCCAACACAAATGGGTGAAAAGTCCATTGGGAGAAATGTAGAGCCATACAAAAAAAAGCATCTTGTAACTTGGTAGAGTTATTACCAGTAGAATCACAGGTTCGGATAGTCAGTCAAAAGTAACATTTTACAAAAGAGTATAAAATAGCATGCATTTAGGCTTTGCCAATTGCTTCAGTTTTCAATTAAAAGGGTATCAAAAATCATTACAGGCCGGGTGTGGTGGCTCACGCCTGTAATTCCAGCAGTTTGGGAGGCCCAGGCAGGTGGATCAACTGAGGTCAGGAGTTCAAGACCAGCCTGGCCAACATGGTGAAACCCCATCTCTACTAAAAAAATACAAAAATTAGCCAGGCATGGTGGCAGGCACCTGTAATCCCAGCTATTCAGGAGGCTGAGGCAGGGAGAATTGCTTCAACCCAGGAGAAGGAGGTTGCAGTGAGCCAAGACTGCACCACTGCACTCTAGCCTGGACGGCCAAGTGAGACTCCATCTCAAAAAGAAACAAACAAAAAAATCATTACAAATAAAGAAAACAGACAAGTGCTTCAGAACAGTGGTTCTCAAAGTGCAGTCCCCACATAGCAATGTCAGCACGTTAAAACTTGTCAAAAATGCAAGTTCTTGGGGCCGGCGTGGTGGCTCACACCTGTAATCCCAGCACTTTGGGAGGCTGAGGCAGGTGGATCACGAGGTCCGGAGTTCGAGACCAGCCTCGCCAATATGGTGAAACCCCATCTCTAAAAAGAATACAAAAATTAGCTGGGTGCAGTGGTGCACACCTGTAGTCTCAGCTACTTGGGAGGCTGAGGCAGGAGAATCCCTTGAACTTGGGAAGTCGAGGTTGCAGTAAGCCAAGATCGTGCCACTGCACTGCAGCCTGGGTGACAGAGTGAGACTCCGTCTCAAAAAAAAAAAAAAAAGCAAGTTCTCACCCCACTCAACCCCCAACTTGTTCAATCAGAAAGGAGGTGGATCCAGCAATCTATGTTTTAACAAGCTCGCCAGTGATTCCAACAGCAAGAGAAGGACTGGGCTAACTACAGACAATTCAAAACCGTTTCATAAACCTATCCTACAGGGCAATAGCCAAAAACAGAGTTAGCACCTCAAGGCATACAACCTCAAAGAGCTGGGAAAAAAGGATATTGAAGAAATTATTGTTATTCTGTTAATGTCAAGTAATATCAAAATCCATTGTTGCATTAGCAGAATATTGCATTTATCTTGTTGATTTTAGGTTTGAAGTTTTAAAGTTTGTTCATGTAATAAATGTTTTATTTCATCAAACGACTATTTTGTTATTAATAAAGTGATGTACAAATATACGTCAACCTAGGCTTGTTCAGCTGTGCAAGGAGTTGTGGGGGAACATGACTTTTGAATTAGGAATGTCTTTGATTCGGGGCCATCTTGCTAAGCATGCCACTGGCTGAAGCTCTTCACTGGTGCCTCTTTGACGGGTATGTCTCCTTTAAATCAATGGTTGCAGCTCCTTCACTCCACGTGGAGGAACACCTTCCTTATTCATAGCTATGACAGCTATTTTAGTGGTAAGGATTGCTAGGTCTCTTTCATTCTCTCTAAAATGTACCTTTATTCCTTCCAGTTGGAGACCGTTTTATTTGGACAGAAAGGCACTTCAATAAAATAGTAGTCTCCAAAGTTAAAATAAAACACACACACTAGAACTAGAATATTTATTTTTACCTTAAAGAATAGGAAATAAAATATTACCCATGTTTAGTATACAGCTTGACTCTGCCCCAACATGCTCCATACGTATTAAGGTCATATGCCGTATATAGCAGGTGAGGTGCCGTGAGGGGAAAGGAGGAATTTCACTACAATGAGAATTTGTGGCAGCCCCTCCCACTATCATTTATTTTGAAAGAGTTGCTGATAATTAGTTTACCAGTGCTAGTTAACCCAATTTAAGAATTATGATATCTAATGTTACCTAAACTAACGTAATTAGATGGAACTGGTGTCACTAAATACACATGCGTCTTAAGAAGATATCCATTGTTACATATTGAATTTGTCTCCTTAAAATTTATATGTTCAAGTCCTAACCCCCTAGTACCTCAAAATATGACCTTATTTTGGAGATAGGGTCTTTACAGAGGTAATCAAGTTAAAGTAAGGCCATGAGAGTGCCCTAATCGAATATGATGGTGTCCTTATGAGAAGGGGACATTTAAACAGACACACACAGAGAGAAGATGATTTGAGAGCACACGGAGAAGACGCCATCTACATGCCAAGAGGAGAGGCCCCAGAAGAAACCAACCCTGCTGACACTATGATCTTGGGTTTCCAGCCTCAAGAACTGTGAGACAACAAGTTTGTTATTTAAGCCACCCAGTTTGTGGTACTTTGTTACAGAGCCTTGGCAAGTTAAAACACCCATGGATAGACCTCAGGTGGAAGATGTGTATGATGTTAGTGAGAGGTGACAGCGTGCTGGCAGTCCTCACAGCCCTCGCTCGCTCTCGGCGCCTCCTCTGCCTGGGCTCCCACTTTGGCGGCACTTGAGGAGCTCTTCAGCCCACTGCTGCACTGGGAGCCCCTTTTCGGGCTGGCCAAGGCCGGAGCTGGCTCCCTCAGCTTGCAAGGAGTTGTGGAAGGAGAGACGCGAGCGGGAACCGGGGCCGCGCGCAGCGCTTGCGGGCCAGCTGGAGTTCCGGTTGGGCGTAGGTTTGGCAGGGCCCAGCACTCGGAGCAGCCGGCCGGCCCTGCCGGCCCCAGGCAACGAGAGACTTGGCACCCAGGCCAACGGCGGCGGAGAGTGTACTGGGTCCCCCAGCAGTATTAGCCCACCAGCGCTGCGCTTAATTTCTCACCAAACCTTAGCTGCCTTCCGGCAGGACAGGGCTCGGGACCTACAGCCTTCCACGCCTCACCCTCCCACCCACTCCACAGGCTCACTGTGCGGCCCTGAGCCTCCTAGACAAACACCACACTCTCTGCTCCAGGGCCCTAAGGGTTGAGGAGTGCAGGCGCACGGAGCAGGACTGGCAGGTAACTCCACCTGCAGCACAGGTGCACAATCTACTGGGTGAAGCCAGCTGGGCTCCTGAGTCTGGTGTGGACGTGGAGAACTTTTATGTCTAGCTCAGGGATTATAAATACACCAATCGGCACTCTGTATCTAGCTCAAGGTTTGTAAACACACCAATCAGCACCTTGTGTCTATCTCAGGGTTTGTGAATGCACCAATCGACACTCTGTATCTAGTTACTCTGGTGGGGACGTGGAGAACCTTTGTATCTAGCTCAGGGATTGTAAATACACCAATCGGCAGTCTGTATCTAGCTCAAACTTTGTAAACACAGCAATCAGCACCTTGTGTCTAGCTCAGGGTTTGTGAATGCACCAATCCACACTCTGTATCTAGCTACTCTGGTGGGGACGTGGAGAACCTTTGTGTCTAGCTCAGGGATTGTAAACGCACCAATCAGCGCCCTGTCAAAACAGACCACTCGGCTCTACCAATCAGCAGGATGTGGGTGGGGCCAGATAAGAGAATAAAAGCAGGCTGCCGGAGACTGTAGTGGTAATTACTTGTGTTCTTTTCTATGTTGTGGAAACTTTGCTGTTTGTAATGAATGTTGTTACTGCTGTTTGGATCCATACTGTGTTTTGTTAGTTGTAATACTTGCTGTGAAGGTCTGCTGCTTTGTTCTTGAGTAGAGCTAGTGAGATCGTGAGGGAAAAATGAATAACTGAAGAACTCTACATGTCCTGTTTTAAGAAGTTTAGCTCTGTGAAGGTCTATAGGTTCACTCTTGAGCCAGCAAGACTATTGAACCCACCAGAAAGAAGGAACTCTGAACACGTGTGAACATGGGTAGGAACAAACTCCAGACATACCACCTTTAAGGACTGTGATACTCACTGTGAGAGCCTGTGGCATCTTTGCTGAAGTCAGTGAGACCAAGAACCCACCAATTCCAGACACAGTAGCACAAGTGAATAAAAAAATGGCAGAGCTGTAGTTTCCTATGCAAGCTCTTTATTAGCCATAACACAAGGTAAAAATTAAACAGAGCTAAGAAAAAGCCTCAATCATTTTCCAAAAATCTTTTAAAATGTGGATGTTGAAAAATTTGGTTATTCAGAGTACTTGAATCTCAAAAAAACTCCCATCTAGAGTTCATCTAGAGTTCATCTAGAAGAAGTAGATTTCATCCCATCTCTGAGGCTGGCCTTGGCTTGCCTGAGGACCCTGGAATGACCTTCAAGAAACTCAGCTGGCAACTGTCATCATACCCCCTACCTCCATCTCTCATCTCCGAAACCTAGATAGTCAGATCTTACTTTGTCCCTAGGGGGTCAATTCAAAAGACAATTTGGCAAAGTGCAGTGGCCCACACCTATAATCCTAGCGGTTTGGAAGGTTAAGGCAGGAGAATGAACTGAGCCCAGGAGTTTTGAGACCAGCCTGAGCAGCACAGCAAGACCCCCATCTCTACAAAAAATAAAATAGCTGGGCATGGTGGCACACACCTAAAGTCCTAGCTACTCAGAAGGCTGAGACAGAACCCAGGAGGTTGAGTGAGCTATGATTGCACCACTGCACCCTAGTCTGGGCAACAGAGCAAGATCCTGTCTCAAAAAAAAAAAAAGGCTCCAAGGCAATGTTTAGTTTCACAGCAGAAAAAATGCCCGGTTTGTGGACCTTCCAATACCCTAGAGAACGGGTGTGGGAATAGATCCTTAAGGGGCTAGACCAAAAAGGGAAGAATGTAATTAGATGAAACCAGTGTCATCTATGTGGCGAGATTACCTGAGACTCTGGATTCGGGGTGCTAGGAAGTCCATGAACCTAGGAGGGATTCTTGCTGCTTTCTCACTGGATGGACTAAACTGGATCCAGTGGAGGTTGCCCCCAACTGAAGTTGAGAGGCCAGAAATTCTTTGGTTTGGAGGAAGGAACCTGAGGACTTGGGGAGATGGGACTGTGCAGTGGATTAGTGATGTGTGACCTCATGCATCACACCTCATACCTGCTGCCCCGCCCCTAACTGTGGCTCTCAGCGGGCCAAAAGACATGGCCTTCACCAAAGTTTTGAGAATGAGATTAGCAGAGGAAGCATCTATGAAGAACATGGCGGAGGCCATCCTCTTTAGGCATCTGGGTGAAGGTAGGAGAATCATCTGGATTTGTATTCCAATTCCATAATTCACCAGCTTAGCAAATACTACACTGCTCCAAGTTCCAGTTAACCTATCTTTAAATGAGAATAGTAAAACCTTCTGTTTTAGCCCATTCAGGCTGATATAACAGAATACCACAAACCAGGTAGCTTATAAACAATAAACAACAGAAATTTATTTCACCAGGTGCGATGGCTCATGCCTGTAATCCCAGCACTTTGGGAGGCTGAGGTGGGAGGATTACTTAAGCCTAGGAATTTGAGGCTAGCCTGGGCAACATAGGGAGACCCCATCTCTACAAAAAATACAAATATAAGCTGGCTACGATGGCATGTGCCTGTGGTCCCAGCTACTCAGGAGGCTGAGGTGGAAAGATCACCTGAACCCAGGATGTCATGGCTGCAGTGAGCCAAGATCATGCCATTGTACTCCAGCCCGGGTGAAAGGAGTGAGATCCTGTTGAAAGAAAAAAAAAGAAAAGAGAAGGAAGGGAAGTGGAGGGCAGGGAAGAGGAGGGGAGGAGAGGGAGAGGGAGGGAGGAAGGGAGGAGGGAAGGAAGGAAAGAAGGAAGGAAGGAGAGAGAAGAAAGGAAAAGAACAAAGAAGGAAAAAAAGAGAGAGAAAGAAAAAGAAAGAAAAATTTCTCACATTTCTGGAGGCTGGAAGTCTCAGATGAAGTCACAAGCAGGTTTAGTGTCTGGTGAGGACCTGCTTCCTGGTTGATAGATGGCGCCTTCTATCTGTGTCCTCACTTGGTGGAAGGGGTGAGGGATCTCTCTGGGACCTCTTTTATAAGGGCAATAATCCCACTCATGAGAGCTCCCCTCTCATAACCTAATCACGTCCCAATCCTATCACATTGGAGTTTTGAGGGGCACACACATTCAGACCATAGCGTCTTCTGACAGGGTATGTTAAAATGTACCTGGGACTTGTTTTAATCAGGTATAGTGAGACCTGCAGACAGAGAAATGATTGTCATGAAGGAAGGACTTCCTACTCCCAGATTCCTAGAAATGGGAGGTGTGCATGCCACACAGGGAAGCACCAGGGACCCTGAGGAGGCAGAAGGACAAAGGTTACAGCATGGCCTGGAGCCTTTATTGGGATTGTCGCAAGGCAGCACACATATGCAGAGGAAGTTTAGGATTGCATCCTGTGAGTAACTCCAAAGGGCTCTGGCCTACAGGGATGATCCCTAGTTGTCTGGGTACCTGGTACAGTGGTAATTTGGGGCAGGGGGATTATTGGCTTGGCTTGGAGAGTTTGACAAAGGAGACGGTTGGAGGCGTGGGCTCTGGGTTGATTGGTTTGTATAAAAGCATGCTCCTGGGAGTCTTTTACTATCTAGGAATTAGCTAGCCCCAGAGGGGCAGCCTCTCCAGGACCAAGGCCCTACATGCCAGAAAATAAGAAAATGTAGCTAATAACACAGGGCCACCATGGGACTTGTGTTAGTCTGTTTTCACACTGCTATAAAGAATACCTGAGACTGGGTAATTTATAAAGAAAAGAGGTTTAATTGACTCACAGTTCCACAGGCTTAACAGGAAACATGGCTAGGAGGCCTCAGAGAACTTAAAACCATGGCAGAAGGCAAAAGGGAAGCAAGCACATCTTACATGGCAGCAGGGGAGAGAGCAGTGTGAAGGGGGAACTTCCAAACACTTCTAAAACCATCAGCTCTCGTGGCTGGGCACGGTGACTCACGCCTGTAATCCTAGCACTTTGGGAGGCCGAGGTGGGCAGATCACCTGAGATCAGGAGTTTGAAACCAGCCTGGCCAACATGGTGAAACCCCCACTCTACTAAAAATACAAAATTAGCTAGGCATGGTGGCGGGTGCCTGTAATCTCAGCAACTCAGGAAGCTGAGGCAGGAGAATTGCTTGAACCTGGGAGGTGGAGGTTGCTGTAAGCTGAGATCACGCCTTTGCATTCCAGCCTGGGCAACAGAGCGCGACTCCATCTCAAACAAATAAATAAATAAAAATAAATAAAACCATCAGCTCTCTTGAAAACTCCCTCACTATCATGAGAACAGTCACCTCCCACCAGGTCCCTCCCCTCAACACCAGAGGATTACAATTCAGATTGCAATTCAAGGTGAGATTTGGGTGGGGACACAGAGACAAACCATATCAGACTGAAATGGTGTCATGTTTGTAATGGTAAAGAAAAAAATGCTTTTAAGAAGACCATTAAAGAGCAAAGATTGAGCACTGAGTAATAAGCCCCTTGTTCCCATCTGGTCTCCGGTGCTTGCACTGGGCAGGTTGCTCTTTATTCCCAGGACGTGGCCTCCCAGGACAGCAGGGCCCTCCCTCAGCACTTGCCAAGCTCTGAGAAAGAGCCTGGGAACTTTGGATATTTTCCCTGCCACTCACTCAGGAAGTTTTATCGGTTCCTCACCTATCTGCTCTATGCCTGTCACAGCTGATTGGCAGGAGAAGAACTTAGCAAGGCCCACCTGGGAAGTGCAGCTCAGGCGGCCTCTCCACCGTCTGAGAGACTGAATATATAAACAGATGATGGCCAGACCCTGTATAAAAATAGAACTGGCACCGGGCGCGGTGGCTCGCACCTGTAATCCCAGCACTTTGGGAGGCCCAGGCGAGTGGATCACCTGAGGTCAGGAGTTCAAGACCAGCCTGGGTAACATGGTGAAACCTCATCTCTACTAAAACTACAAAAATCAGCTGGATGTAGTGGTGCGTGCCTCTAATGCCAGCTACTCGGGAGGCTGAGGCAGGAGAATTGCTTGAACCCGGGAGGTGGAGCTTGCAGTGAGCCAAGATCAAGCCACTGCCCTCCAGCCTGGGTGACAGAGTGAGACTCCGGCTCAAACAAAACAAAACAAAACAAAACAAAAAAAAGGGGCTGGGAGCGGTGGCTCAAGCCTGTAATCCCAGCACTTTGGGAGGCTGAGGTGGACGGATCACCTGAGGTCAGGAGTTCGAGATCAGTCTGGCTAACATGGTGAAACTCCGCTTCTACTAAAAATACAAAAAATTAGCTGGGCATGGTGGCGTGCACCTATAATCCCAGCTCCTCGGGAGGCTGAGGCAGGAGAATCACTTGAACCCAGGAGGCAGAGGTTGCAGTGAGCCGAGATCGCGCCATTGCACTCCAGCTTAGGCAACAAGAGTGAAACTCCATCTCAAAAAAAAAAAAAAAAAAAAAAAAGAACTGACCCACAGCCTGCAGCAGCCTGCCCAGGAAACCAGCCCCTTACCTACAATAGCCAGCCCAGGAAGTCAGCCTGCCTTAACTCAGACTTGTAGGAAGTCGGATCACTATGCCTAGTAATAATCCAGGAAGGCAAACAATAATTCTTTTCATTCGGCCAAAAATGGTCAGGATTTGATTAACAACTGATGCTTCCCTAATTTTTGTCCTTCTTTCCAATTCAGTACTAACCAGAGAAAGGTAAATATTTACCCCTAAGCAACCACATAGGACACCCTGCTTCTAGGGAGCCAATCCAGCTTCCCACACCAACAGCCTCCAATCAGTGCACACCTGAAGCCCTCCCTTTCTTCCACTGTAAAGCTTCCCCACTCCTCTGCCAGCCTTGGAGTTGCTGCCAAGCGCAAGTAACAGTGGCTGACTCCCTGCTGTAGCAAGCTCTGAATAAATAGCCTTTGCCTCTTCTCATCTGGTTGGTCTTTATTTCCACACCTCTGATCCCCAAACATATTTAGGGATTCTTTTTCCACACACTCTCCCACTGGTGGTCCTTATCAGAGAGGCGCCGAGGCAGGCTTGAAGCCCACTCGGACAGTCGCTCTCCAACTCAGTTGCTCTCCCATCCAGCTCTGACCCTTCTCCCAGCTCCCACATAGTTTCAATTCCTCTGAGGCAAAGAAAAAAAAATGGCTCAGCAAGTATTCCTCCACATCTGCTGTTTATGGTATGAATATTTGAATCCTTAAAAAACAGGATATTCAAAAGCTTAAGATTCAAAACACTTTTAACTACTATCTCTGCTGTGATATTTAAAAGGCTATGGTGAAACTCATAAGATGAGACTTGATTCTTACCTTTTCTTTATATTGCTACCCTAATACCCTAAGGAAGAGAATTTAAAATTAATAGAGAATCAAGTGATATGCCAATGAAATACAATGTATGGATCTTATTTCTATCCTGACTTGGGCAAACTTTGAAAAATATTATAAGGTAACTGAGGACATTTGAATGCTGACTGGATATTTGATGACAGTAAAGAGTTATTGTTAATTTTAATGTATGGTAATAGTGTTATATGTTTAAAAAGTCCTTTTCTTTTAGAATAGTGAAATAGTTATGGATGAAATGATTAGACATGTGGGATTTGTTTCAAAACAATCCAATGGTGAGGAAGATGGAGAGTAGGTAGGGACTAGATGAAACAGGATTTGTTGATAATTATTGAAGCTGGAAGATGGGTAAATGGAGTTCCTTATACTATTGTCTCTATTTTTGTATCCATTTGAACATTTTTGTAATTTAAAAACCCGATGTATTAATCACACCTTTTAATTTTCTATAATTCTGATGTTTTGACATCTTGGTGTCACAGGCTGACGGGTTCTTCTTGCTCGCTGCCCTATAAATACTCCAAAGAGAACAGCAGGTACTGCAGCAAAGAAAGGGATTAATAATCACTGGGCCGCCCAGGTGAGGAGAACAGGGAGAAATTTCTC